>NC_000022.11:37042897-37194412 GCF_000001405.40 Homo sapiens
GCTGGGATTACAGGCATGAGCCACTGCGCCTGGCTGACCCCACATTCTAAAACAAGGTGAGGTGCTGGACTCTCGAAAGCATTTCTTGCTACTGAAGTGGTTAAGAGCTAGTCGTAGAACCCTACGACCACCCCCTGACCCACACCTCTCCTGCCCCCGGCAGAGATAGGAGAGCTGCCACCAGGAGCAGCAGGAAGGTAGAGGATGCTTTCTCTGGTGGCAGATGTTGGGGTGCTGTCCCATGGAGGAGGTGCATGGGGTGCCTCCCCTCTCCACAGGCTGAGTGAGAGGGCTTCAAGGAGGCCATCTGCGGAGCTTCACCCATGTGTCCTGGATTCTGGGGGTCTCAGAGGCTGGGTGGGCCCTTGCCTGGAAAAGCCTGCATCCTGCCAGCTGCTCCTTGCTGGGGTCAGGAGGCACATGTGCTGTGAGTCTTGTCAGGGTGGGGCCTGCCTGCAGGCTTTTCTGGGCCCAGCTGAGAGCTGGCCGAAAGGAGATGGCTTGGAGCTGTCCAGATGGGGAGTTGGTGCATGAGTGCACAGAGGCTGGAAGCGGGGTTGGGGAGTGGGTGGACGGTGGAACCCAGGAAGCTGATCCTTGGGGAGCATCCCAAGGGGCGAACCAGAGAAGACACTGCCCAGGAAGAGACCTGTAGTAGGAGCTACTCCCAGCAATGGGGGCACCAAAGAACCCTCAAAACAACCTGCCAGAAAACAAGGAGCCAGCTTGAAACATCTGCTCCGGCCACAGCAAAGCCACACCAGAGAACAAAGGACGCCAGGCAAGGAAAACCTTTCCTGCCCTTCCTTCTACCTGCATCCCCACTCCCTCGAGGGAGGAAACAGAGGGGGGATCAAAGGGTAGAAGGAGCTGGAGGACAGGCTGGGGCCAGAGCAGCACAGAGCACTCCTTGGGCTCCTCCTCTGTAAAGTGAGATCACGGCCACATCTCCCTGTTGGGTTACGATTAAAAGAGATCATCCACAAAAGTGCTTGGTGCAGTCCCTGGCACACGGAAGTACTCATAAACGTCCCTCTGGCAGCAGGGGCAGAGTCCACGGGGCCCAGGGGGACAGACGGTAGGTCCCTGGTTCTGTGCCATCAAGCTGTGGAATTACATGCATTGGAGCCAAGCAGACGTTGAGGCAGGAGAGGGGAGTCCTGGGGAGGGGAGGCTGGTGAGAGGCCGGCTGCCATGGCCTCAGTCCCAAGAGCTGAGCTTCTGCAAAAGGAATCAGCAGTAGCAGACACATAGGCAGGCAGGTGCTCTGGGGCTGCTGTCCAAGACACTCCCCAAGGACCTCAGCAGGCAGGCGCACCCCCTGCTGGTGAAGAGGAGTCTCCAGCCACTCTCCCGCCCAGTCAGGTCAGGCTGGGAGCGCGCTGAGCCCCACCCTGCTGGCTGAAGGGAGCCGAGCCCGGGGCCCAGGTGGTCCAGCAGGGACCCAAGGGGCCAGCATCACTGCCGCCCCCACTGCATCTTTGTGCAAATTAGAGAAGGCACCCTTTCCTCCAGACATTCCTGCCCTTCCTTCTACCCGCATCCCCACTCCCACCAGGGAGGAAACAGAGACGGGGTGGAGGGTAGAAGGAGCTGGAGGAGAGGCTGGGGCCAGACATTTCCAAACCTGTCACAAGTGCTGAGCTTTAGACTTTCAGAAACGAAGGAGACAGGGACTCTCCCCTGGAAGAGCTCACAGAGAGGGCCTGTAATGTCTGCAGACTCCAGGGTCACCGTCATATCATGAAAGGGTTGTCAAATATTCAGGTCTATGGACCCATATCTAGCCTCTCTGAGAATGATGCTTCCAGCCCAGGACCTAACACATAATAGATGCTCGGTGATAATGGCTAATATTCACTGTGTGCAATAGCACTAATAAGCATGAATTACATTACAATGTAAATATTGCAAACGGTTTGAAGAGGTTGCATAACTAACTAACAAGGTGTCATGAGTCAGGGTCCCAACCCGGAGTAGAGATTCAAACCCTGGGCCGTGGGCCTCTGGAAGCCTGATCTCATGTACCCATAGCTCTGGCTGGTCAGGAAACACTCTCTCTGATCGGATATGCCCGTTTCTCTCCTCAAGTGACCTGAAAAGGTGCAGAGGCTCAAAACCAAACACCCCCACATCAAGGATAAGTAACAGAATTGGCCCCAGGCAGTGATAGGATTGGATTTGACATAAAGAACAGAAAATGGCTGATCAGAATGTTCTGATGTGCTCAATCTGGGGAAGAGAACTGAAACCAAAAACCCAGCAGGGATGAATGACGTCTTAGTCATGGAACTGACAGGAGCTGTGAAACAGGCCACTCAGAAGTGAGGCAGAGACTGCTGCTAAGCTGAGAAGGTTCAAAACAGGACTCAGTGATGCGCTCAGGTGAGAACTTCAGGATGTATCTTGTGTTCTTTCAGCTCTATCTGGAGCAGAAAAAAAAAAAAAAACTCCTGGGCCATTCTAGGTCACAGAGGGGTGGGGGGGGTGACATGAGGAAATGACAGCCAGCCTGCTCTGGAGCTGGGGTCATCTAGGGTGGCCTTTCTCTCTACCTTTCCCTCCAACCCCAGGAAGGGGGAGTTGGTGGGCTTGGTTCTTCCCTGACCAAAGAGAAATGGATGTTTAAGGGGCAGCCTTTGCATCAGGCACTGATCTTGGGTCCAGGCAATGATAGACAGGGTGGCAGGACTGGCTTCACCAAAGCCAGCGTTCCCTGGTCTTCACACAGGTGGCCTGGCGAGTGCCCTCCACCTGCTAGCTCTTTAAATCCTCACAACAGCTGCAAGAGGTAAGCACTATTACTGTTCTTAATTTAGAAATGGGGAAACTGAGGTTCAGAGAGGTTAAATGACTTTGAAAAGTTACCCAACTGATAAACCACGAAGCCTTGGCTAGCATCCTTGTCTGGGGGCCTGTACCCCTTAACCATATCTCTGTTCTATTTCACTTTCAAGTGGAGTCCAGAGCCATATTAAAAAGCACTGAATGGGACGTGCGTGGTGGCTCATGCCCGTAATCCCCGCACTTTGGGAGGCTGAGGTGGGATGATCGCTTGAGGTCAGGAGTTCAAGACCAATCTGGCCAACATAGCGAGACCCCATCTTTAAAAAATGATAATAAAAAATAAAAATAAAAAGCACCAAAGCACCTGATCCCTAGTGGTCTTGTGGTTGGAGGGGGAATAAAAGAACGAAAGGAAAAAAAAAATACTTGAGGCTGCTCTTCCCAGAAGAAGACATCAGGGGGCGGTGTAACCAGCAGGCATTTGAAATCTGGCCCTCCTCCAGTTTAACCATCACCCTGAAAAGCAGCTAAGGAATGTCTGGAGTTTTATCATTATCCTCTGAATGAGGAAGACATGCAACAATCTATGCAGAGTGACAGTCCATGACTGCTGATACGGAATTCCATATTTTGTCCAAGCCTCCCAAACCCACCTACCCCAAACCAAAGCCTTCCCTAGGGCAGAGGCCACCTCTGGCAGCTTCACCTCTGTGTTTCAATGTCTGGTTTATATAGTGGGTACCCAGCAAGCCCAGCGATGGCCTGAATGCCAGGCCGGTTGTGGGGAGGGGCCAAGCATCCTTTTCAGAGGTGGGTGCACCTTTTCCCAACCCAAACATGGCTTCATCCGGACAAAGCCCAGGCACGGGCAGGGATATGGTGGCATCTGTCGGCTCTATTTAAGGGTCCCAGGTCTTGCCACCTGGCTGTTGGCTGTGGCCCTCGCCAGTGAGGTTGTGGCTTCAGATGGGAGCATTTTAGGAGCTTGCTGAGCAGAGCGCTGTGTCCAGGGATAGGTTGGGGTCTCTGTGGAAAGGACGGGGAGTGAGACTGGCCCAGACAAAGCCTTTCCCTCCATTTTGGGACCAAAGGTGCTGGCCAAGTCCCCACCTGGCACTCCAGGGCTGTATCTAAAAGGGCAGTGCCTGTGGGACGGCGGAGACCAGCCCTGCCCCAGGCTCAGACAGGCCTGTGTTGGACCAGCTGTGGGACTGCAGTTTTCTCATCTGTAATGTGCTGTCAAGAGCACCTGCCGCAAGGGTGCTGTGGGGTTCCATGGGAGGCTGGAGAGCAGAATGGTTATCAGCTGTGACTTCAGATCCAGCAAGACCAGGCTCTGAGGCCAGCGCAGTTCTCAGTAGCCATTTCCAGCACGACCTAGTAGGGACCTCTGGTCTCTGAGCCATGACCTCACCCTCTGTAAGATGGGGGTGGGAACAAGATGGATCTCATTGGCTTGCTGTGAGGATTACAGGAAAAACACATGGGCGCTACTTGGTCCAGAACAAACCCTCAATAAATGACAGCTGCTGATCCTGCTGTCACAGGATGCCTGGGACACGGTCTGTGGCACATAGCAGATGGTAAACTTGTCTTCGTTGGATACACATGGTACGTGTGGCGTTGCACTTAGGACAGTGTCTGGCACATGGGAAGCATGAAGCAGTGAAATAAAATAATATGGGGCCAGGTGTTCACATCTGTAATTCCAGTACTTTGGGAGGCCAAGGTTGGCGGATCACTTGAGGTCAGGAGTTACAAACCAGCCTGGCCAATATGGTGAAACCCAATCTCTACTAAAAAATACAAATATATGAATTAGCCAGGCATGGTGGTGGGTGCCTGTAGTCTCAGCTGCTCAGGAGGCTGAGGCAGGAGAATTTCTTGAACCTTGGGTGACAGAGCAAGACTCTGTCTCAAGAAAAAAGTAGGCCGGGCGCAGTGGCTCATGCATGTAATCCCAACACTTTGGGAGGCCGAGGCAGGTGGATCACCTGAGGTCAGGAGTTTGAGACCAGCCTGGCCAACAGGGTGAAGCCCCATCTGTACTAAAAATAAAAAAAAAAAAAAATTAGCCAAGTGTGGTGTTGCACATCTGTAATCCCAGCTACCCGTGAGGCTGAGGCAGGAGAATCGCTTGAACCCAGGAGGCGGAGGTTGCAGTGAGCTGAGATCGCACCACTGCACTCCAGCCTGGTTGACAGAGTGAGACTCGGTCTCTAAATAAATAAATAAATAGAAAAAAATAAAATAACACGGAAATACAGCATGAAGGAAGAAGACTCCATCTCTGCCCTAAAGATATTCCCAGTGTATTTGGGTTTCTGTTCCATTCATCCCCCTCCCAAAGTCAGGCCCAGTGTTTGACACCTGCAATATGGCAGAGTGGGGACAGGGCCTGTCCTCAGGGAGCTCACACTGTAGAGTGAGGGAAACAGACCAGAAAATGGTGCTACTGGAAGTGGGGGTGGTCTCTGGGTAGGTCCCCCACAATGTAAATGTTGGCTCTTACCCTTCCCTCCCCCTTTCTCCCTCCCTGCCCCTGGGCTGTCCCCCACCCCAACTATCTATCTTGGCACCAACGCTAGGTTAAGATTCCCCAAATGCCACACTGATGACACTCCTCCTTTGCTGAAAGACTCGGTGCTGTCCAAGTCCTGCTGTAGCATCCACACGCCTCAGTACAGAGAGGCAACCCTAGGTGGGCAGCAGCTGGCCCAGGAAGCATGGGAGCTGTTCCTCACCTTCCTGACTTTTTTTTTTTTTTTTTTTTTTTTTGAGACAGGGTTTCACTCTGTCACGCAGGCTGAAGTGCAGTGGTGCGATCATGGCTCACTGCAGCCTCGATCTCCTGGACTCAAGGTATCCTCCCACCCCAGTCTTCCCAGTAGCTAGGACTACAGGCACATGCCACCAAGCCTGGCTAATTTTTTTAAATTTTCTGTAGAGACGGGGGTCTTGCTATGTTGTCCAGGGTGGTCTTGAACTCCTAGGCTCAAGAGATCCTCCCACCTCGGCCTCCCAAAGTGCTGGGATTACAGGCGTGAGCCACTGCATCTGACACCTTCCCAACTTCTCCTCAGGTGAACTCCTTGTTTCATTCCAACTGGCCCACAGCTGGCCTCTGGAATGCCCTCATTCTTCCCCATACAGCTTTGCTCTTTCTTCTTTCCCCTCTCACCCCACCCTCCCCTCTCCCCACCTCCCAAGACCCTCCCTGGGCCCTTTTCTCTGACACTTTGTTGTTGTTGTTGTTAAGACGGAGTTTTGCTCTTGTTGCCCAGGCTGGAGTGCAATGCCGCAATCTCAGCTCACCGCAACCTCTGCCTCCCGGGTTCCAGCAATTCTCCTGCCTCAGCCTCCCAAGTAGCTGGGATTACAGGTGTGCGCCACCACACCTGGCTTATTTTTTATATTTTTGGTAGAGACAGGGTTTCATCATGTTGGCCAGGCTGGTCTCGAACTTCTGACCTCAGGTGATCCGTCCTCCTTGGCCTCCGAAAGTGCTGAGATTACAGGTGTGAGTAACTGTGCCTGGCCTGGGCTCCCCCTACTCTTGACCCAGATGTAGGTGGTCTTCTAACTGGTCTCTCTTCTAACTGGTGCTTCAAACCACCCTCCCAGCAACCTAAGGGTGATCCACATTGCAAATCTGACCGTGTCACTCCCCTGCCTGCCACCCTTGCGTGAAAGAATAAGTATCTCCTGCTCTAGTTTTGCTTTAGCTGACAATGGTCAAGGCCTCACTAAGTGCCAGCAGTCCTGCCAGTCTTTCAAGGCCACTTCACATCCCATCTCATTCACCCATTCATGCATTCAACATAGTAAATGCCAGGGACTGTGCTAGGTGTTTTTTTTTGTTTTCTTTCTTTCCTCCCTCCCTTCCTTCCTTCCTTCCTTCCTCCTTCCCTCCCTCTTTCTTTCCCTCCCTCCCTCCTTCCTTTCCTCTCTCTCTCTCTTTCTTTGACGGAGTCTCACTCTGTCACCCAGGTTGGAGTGCAATGGCATGATCTTGGCTCACTGCAACCTCTACCTCCCGGGTTCAAGTGATTCTCCTGCCTTAGCTTCCTGAGTAGCTGGAACTACAGGCGTGAGCCACCATGCCCGGCTAATTTTTGTATTTTTAGTAGAGAAGGGGTTTCACCATGTTGGCCAGGCTGGTCTCGAACTCCTGACCTTGTGATCTGCCTGCCTCGGCCTCCCAAAATGCTAGGATTACAGGCGTGAGCCACCGGCTGTTTTTTGGTTTTCTATCGTTTTATTTTTTTAAAATAGAGATGGGGGCCAGGCGCAGTGGCTCGCACCTGTAATCCCAGCACTTTGGGAGGCCAAAGTAGGAGGATCACTTGAGCTCAGGAGTTCAAAACCAGCCTGGCCAACGTGGTGAAACCCTATCTCTACTAAAAATACAAAAATTAGCCAGGCGTGGTGGTGCATGCCTGTCATCCCAGCTACTCAGGAGGCTGAGGCATGAGAATTGCTTGAACCCAGAAGGCAGAGGTTGCAGTGAGCTGAGATGGTGCCACTGCACTCCAGTCTGGGTGAGAGAGTGAGACTGTATCTCAAAAAAGAAAAAGAGAGAGAGAGAGAGAGAGAGAGAGAGAGAGAGAGAGATAGGGGTCTCACTATGCTGTCCAGGCTGGTCTTGAACTTCTATGCTCAAGCGAGCCTTGGCCTCCCAAAGTGCTGGGATTACAGGTGTGAGCCACCGCACCCAGCCTACGCTAGATGTTTATAGACATTTCATAACTTAATCTTCACAGCAATGCTCTGGGGTCACAACTGTTGTAAATCCCATTTGGCAAGAGAGAAAGCCAATCTCAGAGAGGAAGTTGCTCAGGACACACCTAGTGAATTTTAAGTAGCAGGATTCCAGTACACCTTTGATCCACTCCCTGCCAAGGAGAAAAGCTTTATGCAGAAAGCAGGGCATTGGGTGGTAACAGGGAAACTTCTCCCAGCACAGGGCCAGGCTGCCCAGTGTTCGGGCCAGCTGCGTGTGACATTGGATCAGTGAGAGGAGCCCCAGACCTCTCCCCCATAGGCCAGGACCAGGACTGAAACCAGTAAGGAGAGGAAGCTAAGGAGACAGCTTCCTCGTCAGCCCTTGTCCCTCCCTGGTCCCGGACCACATGAGGAACTGCTCCCTTCCCCCATCCTGAGGTCCACAGAATGACGGTTCCCCTCCGAGTTAACTGGGGAATAACTCAGAAAGCCACCCGCAGAACCAATCCCTCCTCCTTCTTAGGGAGGACGTGGAAAAACTGAGAAAGGCCAAAAGCCAGAATGGAAACTCAGTTCTCCTGACTCGGATCCAGGGCGTGCTCTACTCTTCCTCCTTAGAAGTCTTTCCCAAGGATCCCTGACATTCCATGGTCAGGGAGCAGGAAAGAGACCTTGGTGGGTACTCACTCACCAGCAATGTGAGTAGGGCGGTCACTTCGCTTCTGTGGCTTCATCTGTAAAATGGGTATAGCCCAAAATACCAGACTCACAGGGCTGCTGAGAGCTTAAATTCATAACACATATACACAAAGTGTCTGGCATACAGGTGCTCAGCCAACCTCAAGTCCAGCTATGTCGTTCTCCAAGAACTCAGGTGAGGGAAAGAACCCACTCCCACCCACCCCGCCCCCACCCCTATACACACAAAGGGCAAATGAAAAAATATGACGAAACACATGCGGGTCAATGCTATGGGGATTCCTGGAGGGGAAAGTTTCTTCCCTTATCAGCTGTTGGACGACGGAGACGGCACAAAGGAAAAACAAGAATGCTCGGACCCATGGGATGACTGCAGATTTGGGGAAGCCCTCATTCTTTTCCCAGAGGCCGGGAGTTCGACCTTCCCCATACACAGTGATTTGGCCAGAGGGCATCTTCACCACCCCAGACTGCGGGCCTGCGGGGAAGGGCGAAGCGGGGCGGGACCGGGGGCGGGAGCAGCGCGGGGCGGGACCCTACCCGCGGCCCACGCGGAGCCAGGAGGCGCGGACTACAGCTCCCGGCCTGCCCCGCGTGCGGTCCCCGCCCGCCCCCAGCGCCCGGGAGGAGGATGCAGACGCCGCGGCCGGCGATGAGGATGGAGGCCGGGGAGGCAGCGCCGCCGGCGGGGGCGGGCGGCCGCGCCGCAGGCGGCTGGGGCAAGTGGGTGCGGCTCAACGTGGGGGGCACGGTGTTCCTGACCACCCGGCAGACGCTGTGCCGCGAGCAGAAGTCCTTCCTCAGCCGCCTGTGCCAGGGGGAAGAGCTGCAGTCGGACCGGGTGAGGCCCCCGGGGTGGGCGGCGAGCGGGCGGTGGGTCCTCCGCTCGCCCGACGCGGGGCTGTCGGGCCTGGCTCGCCCGCCAGGCTGGGGACCCGGCCGGGTTCATTTCCGAGGAACTGGAGGCGGGAAGAAGCGGCAGGAGGAGGGGAGGGGGAGGTGGGTCTGGTAGTGAGGGATGTACCCATTGCCGTGGCAACGGGACGACGCAGGCCGCGGCCATTAGAAGCTCTCCAGCCGCCCCGGATCGGGGCCTCTCCTTCTCCTTTGGGGCTGTGGACAGGGAGAGACCTGGGACCTTTCCTCCCTCCCAAAGGGGACTCCTGCTCTGGGGAAGGAGTCGACGAGGCTACTTCTCCCGCTCTTTGGGATGTGGGTGGCGGAGGGGTGCAGGGAGCTAGCTGGATGGAGGAGCCCTGGGGCGCCTTCTGAGCGGGCTGAATCTAGAAGGAGCGTTGGCCCAGCGGGCACTATTTCTGAGCACCCACCCTGACTCTGCTGCACACTGCCTGCCGCGACCTTGAGTCGGACCCTTCCCTGCACTGCGCTCAGCCTCCTTCCTCATCTGTAACACGAAGGGCTGGTCTGAAGATGACCTCTAAGGTCTCCTGTCCCCCATCCGTGACCCTCCGATGCTGTGGCCTTTGGCAAGTCGCCTCACCTCTCAATGTCTCCGATCTCTCTGTAGAGTCGCATGGAAGCCCACCCTGCCTCCCTGCCCGCCCGAGTGTCCAGTGAGATAGTGACTCCTTTGGAAACTTGTAAACATCCCCTGAAAGCCTAGGGACCTGGGGGCGACAGTGGGGCTGGCTTCAGGGGACAGCCTCTCAGAGGGACATTCTTCGAGCCCTGTGCTGGGCCAGTTGCCACTCAGACATCCTCTCACCGGATGCTCACAGCAAACCCTGATTAGGGGGAGAGGAGTGAGTTTCAAAGAGGCCAAATCATTAGCCTAAGGTCACACATTCAGGAAGAGTCAGAAGCAGGGCTTGAACTCAGGTCCATCTGACCCCAGTGCCTTTTTGCTACTTTGTGCCTGCTCCATCCAGGGAAGAGCTCTCCCTCCACTCTCCTTCCCTCCCTGTGCGTGTGCGGGGTTGGCTGGGGAGAAGCCTCACTCTTCTCTCACCGAGCATCCCTCACCTCCATAGGATGAGACCGGGGCCTACCTCATTGACCGTGACCCCACCTACTTCGGGCCCATCCTGAACTTCCTCCGGCATGGCAAGCTGGTGCTGGACAAGGACATGGCTGAGGAGGGTGAGTTGGTCCAGGGGGCTGGCCTGGACCTTATGCAGCCTGCCAGGGCCCTCTGTGGAGGCCCCAAGCCATTTGGACAACCAGGACGGCCATCTGCCTGCTTGGTTGTTTCCTGCCTCTTCCCAGTCGGACGGGGCTGATTCCCAAGCATCTGCCTGTGCCGAGCCTGGGGCTCTGCCAAGCGGACGGGCTCAAGCTTTCCCTGGGTACTGTCAGGGAGGTGAAGAGACACATGTGCAGGGGATAGAGGAAGTCAGCGAGGCCCTGTGGCCTCTGCTGTGGGCTGTGACGCCCTTTCTCTCTGGCCTCCTAGGAAGCCAGGTGTGGACGGTCACATCCGGAGGCTGGGGTGACAGGAATGCAGTGTTGACAGGCATGGGGAGAGCTCTGTCTCTCTTTCTCTGGCTGATCCAGTATCTCAAATTCTGCCTGGTGAGGGCTTGTAAGTGGGTGGAGCGGGTGACTGTTCACTAAGTCTGGCAGCCTGTGCGGCACAGTGCTGGCTGTGGGTGGAGGCAGGAGAGGGGGGAGTCTGCTTCCCAGTGGGGCTTTGGTTATCCCCAGGCCTAGGTGGCCGAGGCCCTGGATATGCCCATATCCGGGCCTAACAAACAGTGGGGAGGCCATGTCTGGGAGAACGACCTGTTAGCAGAGCTGCAGCCAGGGGCAAGGACTACAGTCAGTGCCAAGTTAACTCTTCTTTGGGACACAGGGTGTGGCTCTGGGTCAGCTGATCCAGCCAGACCAGCTTGAATATGTCACTTCTCCTCACTGCGTCTCCACTGGTATCTATTCAATGGGGGCGGTGATCTGCCTTCTGGAGGGAGATGTCATAAATCCTGCACCTGTGCGTGCCTTCCTGCTCTGGGCCATGGTCTGCCCTCCCTGAGCCCTATGGGACACAGTGGTCTGGAGGCCCAGCAACTCTCTAATAGGTCAGGGCCACAACACCAGAGTCCACTGTAGGTGCCTGGCCCTGCAGAGCCCCACAGCTTGCCTGTTAATCCCTAGGGGAGCACAGATACCATGGGCGTGGCCTAGGCTCAGGAGCAGGCCCCATCGGGAGGGAAGTAAACACCCCAGCTGCGTCGCAGCCAGCACCTGTTTACACGCCCTGCATTCTCAAAGCCCTGCTATTCCCACACCGTCAGACAGCGCTGTCTGGGGGCTAGAGGATCAGACAGGGTTATCTGGGGGCTAGGGGATCACACAGGGCTATCTGGGGGCTAGGAGATCACACAGGGCTATCCGGAGGCTAGGGGATCACACAGGGCTATCCGGGGGCTAGGGGATCACGCAGGGCTATCCGGGGGCTAGGGGATACACAGGGCTAGGGCTCATCCAGGGGATAGGGGATCTGAGAGGAGACTTACTAGCTGTGTGACACTGAGAAAGTGACCTAACCCCTCTGTGTCTGCATGCCCCCATCTGTGAAATGGGGGACCATAGCACCCACCTCACCGAGCTGTCATGAGGATAAAAGGAGTTAATAGTGCAGCATGGAGCTCAGTTCCTGGCCGGAGGATGTGGGATGCAGTGCTAGCTGTCTGTCACCTGCAGGGCTCCGCCCAGGGCACTGGGGATAATTCTCGTAATCAGGCAGCTGCACTCCCTGACCTCCTGCTCTGTGTTTGGTCCTGTGTGGGCACCGGGGACAGAGGGCAGATCAGAAATGTGAGCCCCATCTTAGCCATTTCAGGCTGCAATCATGAAGTAACATAGATTGGGTGGCTTATGAAAATCAGAAATTTATTTCTCTTGGTCCTAGAGGCTAGAAACCCGAGATCGGGGCACTGTGGCAGGTTCTGGTGAGGACTTTCTTCCGGATTGCAGACTGCTGACTTCTCGTTGTGTCCTCACATGGCAGAAAGAGAGGGAGCTAGCCCTCGCCCGCCCCTTCTCGAGAGCTTGTTTGGAGGTTCTAGCAGGGGAGCGCAGCTACTCACATACCCTTGACCAAAGTCCGGTCCTCCTCTATCGGGGGTGGTCGCCCCCTTCGATGGAGCTCACAGCTTCGGGAGGGACACACCTGGAGCAGTGAGGGAGGAAGGGGACACACATCTAGCCAGCCAGATCAGCTAAATCAACCCTGGTGATCAGTGGAGTGACAGATGTCCCCGCCAGATCGCCCTCACATCCAATTAGCCTTTCTTATAAGAAGACTGATCCTACCCTGGGGACTCTACCCCCATGATCTCATTACCTCCCCTCCTAATCCCATCACAGTTTTCAGCAGGTGGATTTTTGGGGAACACACACATTCTGCTCATAATGAGCTCTGTCCCCAGGGAGCCCAGAGGCCAGTCAAGGAAAGGGCCCAAAGGTCCCCTGCCTTCTGGGAGCCTAGGGGAGTCGAAACAGCTGCAAGCTCATCGCTTCACTGGTGGGCTGACTTCTTCATCTCCCAGATTAACTTAACTGTAAGATGGGGACAGTAATGCCTGCTCTCCTCATATCCCTGGACTTGTGATGAGCTCGTGCAGGGTGTTGCAAACTGTAAGGTGAGGCAGTTGGGGGAATGCATGGACACAAGGGTATGTGCTTACAGTGGGGAGACATGGGCTCTGGAGTCTGCAGCGCTTGAGTTCCCTCTGGCACTTACCAGCTGTGTGACCTTGGACAAGCTGCTTCTCTTTGGGAGCCTCAGTTTTCCCAGTTGTTCAATGCAGATGATGAAAGTACCTCCTTCTAGTTCTGAGAATTCAAAAATGTAATGCACCTGGCACTTAGAATGTGCTTAATAAATAGGAGCACATAATCAGGGGTCAGGCAAGGCCCTGCTCATGGTGACATTCTGGGGATCAGTCCCAATGACCCTGCTGTCTCTTGATAGCCCTAAAGCTGCCCCAGACGGTGGCCTGGCAGGTACCCCTGGGTCACCGCACTCAGCACAGCAGAGCTGTGTGGCAGCCCCTCAGCCCCTTCCACAGGAAGTGTGGGATCCAAGGAAAGAAATGCTCCCTCTTACTTGACCCCTGAACTCACAGACACTCAGCTCACCCTCAGGGCGGGTGATCAGAGCGAGAGGTGGGTTTCGGGGTGGAGGGAACAAGAGGAGAATGGGGCATGGAGGCAGAAGGAGTGACCTGGGATCTGTTCTGTCTGTGCCAGGGGTCCTGGAGGAAGCCGAGTTCTACAACATCGGCCCGCTGATCCGCATCATCAAAGACCGGATGGAAGAGAAGGACTACACGGTCACCCAGGTCGGGAGCAGGGGCAGCACACACGGCCAGGGCAGGGGCCAGTGGGGAGAGAGAGGCTGAGAGACGGGGCGGGAAGCAGAGGAGGTTGGGAGAGACAGGACCAGTGTTTGTCATGGGGAGGCCGAGCTGGCCTGTAAGGAGAGGCATGGTTGGGCTGACAGGCTGCCCAGCACAGCCCCAGACTCGGAGACGGACACTGGGGTTCAGTCCCTGTCTCAGCCCCATTTGCTGTGTGTTGGGCCAGGCTCGCCCTCTCCGGACCTTGATTTTCTCTTATGGGATAGAGAGGGGTGGGAATGGCACACCCATCCCTTCCTCATAGGCAGAAGGGGGTCAGTGTGGAGGTACAGGGTGCCCTGCAGAGGAAAATGCAGGATTAGCAAATTGTGCCTTTTGTGGCATCAGATGGTCGCCTGGTGGGCTCGGCACAGGCTGTTGGGGCTGGCGTTTGTGACCTTGGAGCCTGGGCCTCCCTGGCCAGTCTGCAGGAGGAGGGAAAGAGATTTTCCGCCTACTCTGGGGGATGTGTGAGGGTTGGGGGACAGGTAGTGAGGAACCATTTCTCAGGCCCAGGGGATTAAAGAGGGGAGGCTCCGTGTCTCCTTGAGGGCCTGACTCCTTGAGGGTGACCCAGAATGTTCCCTAAGCCCCACCCATGTTCTTTCTTGAATTACCCGTGTTCCGGTTCTGTCTCCTTCACCCTTGAGCTGGGTGACCTTGGGCAAGTAACTGGACCTCTCTGAGCCTCAATGGAAAGTCCCGTAATGCCTAGGATTCTTGGAAGGATTAAGTGAGATGGTGCCTGGTAAATGCCTGGTGAGGAGCAGGTGCTCAGAGCATGGCTGCCTCCCCCCAACCACCTCTTCTTTCTCTCCCTCTCTTCTTCTTTGGGTATGTTGCGGGGGTGGTGGCAGCAGGTGCTCATGCCCCTCCTGGGGTGCCTGGTGCTCCCACAGGTGCCCTCTATGTGACCCTTCTGCCCACAGGTCCCACCCAAGCACGTGTACCGCGTGCTGCAGTGCCAGGAGGAGGAGCTCACGCAAATGGTCTCCACCATGTCTGATGGCTGGCGCTTCGAGCAGGTGCGCTGGGGACAGGGGCGTGCCACCAGGACAACCCTGGGACCTCCTAGCCTCTGACCAAGCAGGCCCCTCCCTTCCTGCAGCCCCAGCCTTGGGTTCCCCACCACAGTCTCCCCCAACCCCAGGGTTCTTCTGAAATCAAATTAAACAAGGTTAGGAGAGACCACACTTGGTGGCAGGTTGACCGAGAGAGAGGATAGGAGCCCCAGTGGCCATAGGACAGCACGGGGTGTCCTTGTTGGTGGGAGTCCTCACAGCAACTGGGTGGTGATCTATCTGGTGGCATGAGTGAGTCTGTGGCCCCCGAAGGACAGCTCAGGTGCAAGGAGACCAGATCCACATAGGTGAGTGGAGTCCACATTGAGTCAGTACCTCTTAGAACTCAGAGTCAGCATCATGCGATCATAGCAGTTCCTGACACAGTTTTCAGGGTCTCCGCAGGGGACATGCCCAGTGGCCAGCATTGCAACATGCAGGGGAGCCCAAAGCAGTGCCTTCCCATGAGGTCTTTATGGTGAACGGTGGTTCCTCCCAGTCCAGATGCAGTTTACCCATCGGGAGATCCTTATCCCGAGGGACTTTATCCCTAGTCATGCAGCTGACCTCCCACCTTTCAGGTTTCCAGAGGAGCAGAGCCAGAAAGTGAGCCCAGGGTCAAAAGTGCCTTTAGAGAAGGAGAGGGGGTTGGCTAGCCTTTCTCCACGCCCACCCACACGTTCCCTGGCACATGGAGACTGCAAGGCAGAAGGTCGGAGCCCCCAGGATGGCCTGGAGGGATGGAAGAATGGGCCTAGTGCAGAGCCAGAGGCCTGGCTTCACCTCTAGGCCTTGCCACAGACATGCCTGCCACCTTGGGCAAGTTACATCTCCTGTGCGGGACCCAGTTCCCTCATCGGTGAAGTGGGCTAACAGTACCTCCTCTGTAGGACTCTTGTGAGATTAGAAGGGCCATCAGTAAAGCTTACAGCCCTCCGTAGGACTCCCTATGTTGGCATTAGTGTCATGCAAATCATTAGAAATCCATATTGAAGTCTGCAACACTCAGAGAGGACTTGGGATCCCCGATGCCATTCCCTGCTCCACCCCTTCCTAGCTGTGAGGCCTTCAGCAGGCCTGAGATTCTCTTCAGGGTCCCTGAGAGCTGAATGAGACTCATCACCTGGAAGAACTTTCTTATTTCTTAGCCAGAAGGGCTCTGTGGGCGTGGTTATTCTAGGGACCCTGGAACAAGGGCAGGGCCACTCTGAGAGCCTCTGGGTGTCTTTGGCAATTGCACAGGCTCTCAGAGGCTGAGCAAGCAGGCCAGGGACCATTGGTCATTTGCCCTTTGGTCTCAGGAGTGGACCACCTGTCGTCCCACCTCTGCTTCCAGGAGTGAAGGGAATATTCTGTGGGGCTCCACCTTGCCAATGCCACCCTGCAACCTTGTCCTGGGGCTGTGTCAGCCACATCTGGAATGGGGGACAGCCGCCCTTTAGAGGCCTCCGCCTGCATTTAGAAAAGGGCCCCCTGGCTCTGGGGCTAGGCTGGAGGTGGTGGTGGGGACAGCGGTAATGCTGCCACCCTCCACCAGGGATCGGGCCAGCCAAGCCAGGCGGAGGGGCTGGTCCTGGGGCACAGACCACAGGCACAGGTTGCAAGGGGGAAGACTCCACCTTCCTGCCCAGAGGTGCCCTCT
This sequence comes from Homo sapiens, assembly GCF_000001405.40. NCBI lineage: Eukaryota > Metazoa > Chordata > Mammalia > Primates > Hominidae > Homo > Homo sapiens. The sequence continues at coordinate 37,059,172 of NC_000022.11, forward strand.
ACAAACCCAGGAGTGGGCCCGACAAGCCGCAAGATTAGGACCTGAGCTGGTATCTTGATTTGAGTGCCGAGGTCTGTCGTATCCTGCCCCACGGCCCCCAACACCAACCTGCATTTTTCTCCCCATGCTCCGCCCCTCTAGCTGGTGAACATCGGCTCCTCCTACAACTACGGCAGCGAGGACCAGGCAGAGTTCCTGTGTGTGGTGTCCAAGGAGCTCCACAGCACCCCAAACGGGCTGAGCTCAGAGTCCAGCCGCAAAACCAAGGTGAGCCCACCCGCCTCAGCCTGTGTCCGGAGAAGTCTCCTGTCTCCCTCCACCCTCCCCGCCTGTCCCGCCCCTGCGCCTGCACCATCCCTCCACCTCTCTCCCGCCACCGCCCATGCACAACCCCATGCTCACAGCCACCGCCATCCATCCCATGCCACCTGCCGTTACCCAGGCCCAGGCTGGGAGCAGTGAAATGAGAGCATCCCCAGGGTGCAGCCGGCGTGGACTCAGAGGCTACATGAAGGGGGCCGCTTAGTGGCCACTGGGCACTGTGGCATGGACTAGGGGTCAGGGCACAGTGTGGCACTCTCTGTGTGACTTAGGACAGGGCTTGTCCTCTCCCAGCACCTTTGCTGCACTCTCTGAAGTGAGAGGGGAGGATCACATACTCTTTGTAGTGCCTTGGAGCCTGGAACTTCTGGGATCCCAAATGGCCGTTTATTCCCCAGGGACAGGTGCATGTCCCCAGCTGGCCTGAGCCAGGATGAGGAAGCCACCGCTGTAAATCCTGCCCCTTTCCCAGGCCCCCTCCTTGGCTGCTCTGCAGGATAGGGGCAGCCTGGTGGCTGCCAGTCCTGTGTGTCCGCCTGGCCTGTTGAGGCAGCCTCCTGAGAGCACCCTGGCAGCATCCACTGTACCACTGTGGGGAGAGGGCTGAGCGGGGGTCCTGCCATCCTGGACCCAGTGCTGTGGGAAGTCCCAAGGGCCTTCGCAGAGCCACAGAGCAGGCGTGAACCAGGCTGGGAAGAAGGCAGGCTGCTCCTCCTGGGGCCCAACCCCACACAGTGGAGGCTTACCTCTGGCTTCCTGTCTATCTGTCTGCCTCCCTGTCCTGCTGTGACGCACCCTGCCTGCCCACCCACCCCCACCACTGCCAGGGCTGACGCTGCCCTGCAAGGGTGCAGAGCGAGACTGCTCCTTCTGCCTCTTTGGGCCAAAGCCCCTGGACCTGGGGTGTCAGAGACTGGCTGGCATCCCAGATCTGGGTGGTGTCTGCCCTGGGGCTTCCTTGGCCACATTTCTACTGAGGAGCAGTCTTTCCAAACAAGGCCTTCCCAGGCACCCCTCAGGGATACCCCAGTCCCACACCCTCCCTGTTCTGCTTCATCCCCTCCCTCCAGCCTCGCTCTATGTAACAGCAGCCAGGCTGACCCCGGAGCATGCCCACAGCATCCCATCCTCAGCTGCTTTCCCCAGGCCCTCCCCAAGCTGCCCAGGGGACCGGAGAAGATGCCCCCAGCTTCTGTGGCTGGAGCCCTCCCCTCTCCTGAGGTCCCTTTCACCTTGCCTGAGACCGGGTCTTTGGGGATAGCCAGCAGGCCCTGGCCCCTCTGTTAGTGTCTCCACTCTTTCTTCCCTGGGTCCGCCGGCTGGTTCACAGAGCACGGAGGAGCAGCTGGAGGAGCAGCAGCAGCAGGAGGAGGAGGTGGAGGAGGTGGAGGTGGAACAGGTGCAGGTGGAGGCAGATGCACAGGAGAAAGGTGCAGCCAACCCCCAGGAGGATGATTGCTAAGCAAAGCCGGAGCCTCCCGCCCACTCCTTGCTGGAGCCAGCTGCAGAACCGGGGGCCCCGGGGCTGCTGGGGGGGCACCAGGGTTAGCTCAGCCACTTGCCTGGCGCCTCACCCGCATAACCATCCCTTCTCTCACTTTCTCTTTGCAGCCCAGTCATCTCAGGATCCCGCTAACCTTTTCTCCCTCCCACCACTGCCTCCTCCTCCGCTTCCCGCTGGAGGTCCTGCCTCATCTTCATCCACCTCTTCTTCCTCCTGGATCTCATCTGCACCCTGCCTCTTCCCTCTCTGCCCCTGTCCGGGTTTTCTCTCTGCCTGCTCACGCCTCCATCCCGGGTCTGCCCTGGTCCCAGCCTCCCGTGCCCTCCACCCAGGCCCCCTGGCCCTGCATCCCAGAGCGTCCTGCCTGCCGCCTCCTGCGCCCCTTCTGGTACCTCCTGCCTCCCAGCCTGGGGAGGAGGGGCGCAGCTGCACCTCCTCTGTGCCCACTAACCCTGCCGGGCACCTCTGAGACTGGGCCCTGGCTGCAGGCCCTGCCCCCCCTCCTCTCCTCCCGGCCTCCTCCTCACGTTTCCTCCTTGCAGGTTCCCGTCCGCACCCTCTCAGACCTGAGGCTGAGCTTGCAGTGAGGGCTTCTCCTCGGCCCCTCGCCCGCCCCCAGAGCTGCCATCCCTGGTTTGTAGCTTGGCGGTGCTGGAGGGAGGGGTGGAGCGAGGAGGGTGCTCATCTCTTGATCCTTGGACTTGAGCCGAGCTTTCGGCTGATTATCTCCACCCACCAAAGTTTCTCATCCGACCTTGGCCTTGGGGGTGAGGCTCTGAGAGGAGAAGAAAGTTAGGGAGTGGGAACTTTCCTACCAGCCCATCAGCACCAGAGCCAGGCTGGTGGGGAGGGAGGGACCGCTGAAGCCAGAGGCCCTGGCCAAGTCCCTGCACATCCAGGAGCTCCTGTGTCACTGCCTTGTGGCATCCCCTATTTCTGTGGGGATGGGGAGGACAGGCCACTTTTGGATACCCTTGGCCCATGAAGTGTCAGCCAGAGTGGCTTAAGGATTGCAGAGTGGCAGAAAAAGCCCTGGCCATGTGCCCACAAGCCCCCTATCCCACTCTTTTCTGCCTGCTCTGTGACCTTGGGCAAGTCACTGTCCCTCTCTGGGCCACAATTGCCTCTAAAATTGGGACAGACAGCTGCTCCCTGTGGCTTCTTTCGCCTGGGGCATCAGTGCCTCTCCCAGCCCTGAGCAACCCCCATCCCACCCCCTTCAGAGTCTTGGCAGAATCTGGCCTCTGTAGGTGGCCGCCACCGAGCCCAAGACGGGGCATGGGGCTCCTGGATGGGTTAGTTGGGGAGCCCTTGCTGCTCCCCCCAACTCAGTTCTGAATCCACCTTCTTTGGGCCTCAGCCCCACCCCCTCCTCCAGAAGGAAGCCTGTGACTCAACTGCCTCTCTCTCTCTCCCTCTCCCCCACCCGTCAATCTCCTCTCCGCCCCCTTGCCCTGCATCACCCCCTCCTTACCGGCCCCACCTCCGCCCCTCCCATCCTCCTGCCCTTCCCCTCTTTTTTTTCTAGCTGTTACAAGCCAGAGGCACCCGGATGTGAGGCCCCAGATCACCTCCAGGGACTTGGGGTTCCCATCTGAAATCCTTTATTTTTGTACCATGGGGTGGGCCCCGGGCCTGAGAAGGAAGAAGCACCCTCTCCCCGGCCTCCTCTGTCTGCACCCGTGGGGCTGTGACTTACTCCTGCCTCCAGGGGCGGGGCGGGGCCCCCCTGGGACCTCTTAAGGCCCAAGGTGGGCCCCAGGACCTCTGGGCAGAGTGGACTGCTCATGGCAGATGTGTGGCAATGTCTGGCTGTGTCTCTCCGGCACCTGCGTCCCCTCTCCCGGGCTCCCCTGCTGCATGGTGGATGTGCTCCTTCCTGGCCCGGTCACATTGCCTCCTTGAGCCTTAGTCCAGGGGGTCACTCCTCCCACCCCACCTACCTCACAGGGTTGTTGTGAGGGTGCACAGAGGAGCAAAGTCCCTGAAGGCCCTCAGGCAGTATATAGGGGCCGCCCACCTTCAGCTGCCCTGGGATGGGAAGGACCCAGCCCGACCCCTGGGCATAACACTGTGTTTGCAAATGGAGATTCAGGTATTGGGGATGCAGGTTGTGGGGAGCTGGCCTGGCAGAGTAGGGGTAGTTGGCTTGGCCTTCTCTTTGGTGATCCCACCCCCAGCCATTTGCATTGCTGGCCCAGCGCCTGGCCTGGGGGGCGGGGAGAGGCAGCAGAAGGGGCTGGGCAGGGGCGGTGGAGGACTCAGGAACTGCCCGGGGAGAGTGGGTATGGCGGCTGAGCCAGGGGCCCTCCTGTGTTTGACTTCCCGGGATGGGTCCTTGCTTCTCAGCTGTGTCCGACCCCACCATGTAATAAAACCCAAAGGAACAGCCCAGCCTGGCTGTTGCCCTCTTTCTCTGGGCCACTTTTGGGGACGGGGCTAAACTAAAGGTGTGGTAGTCTGGTCCAAAGGAACGCGGCTTTGTCCCAAAAGCCCAGGGACGCTGCCCTGTTGTCATTTTCCTGTGTGTGTTGCAGGGAGGGCTTGGGGAACTGGCTATATCCTTTGCCCTGGGGCCGGATACCAGAGCACCTGCCCTACCTGGCCGGGAGCCAGAAAACAGAACTCTAGGGAGAGCCCTGGGCTGCCTCTGCCACATCCTAAACCTCTCAGCGCGCCCCCTCCACTTCTACTCTGACACCTGGGCCACCGCCATCCCTCCCTATTGCTGCCACCCCTCTGCCCAAAATCCTAGGAAATATAAACACCCCGCCCTCTCCCTTCTCTGACCCTGCTGGACCCAGCCCAGACCCCAGACCCTCCACCCACCCTGGCCAGTTCCTTCAACTCCTCAGTCCTCCCCGCTGCTCGAGGAAATCCTGCCGGGCAGTGAGCCCCTAAGGCGCAGGCCTTCCACAGGCTGGGGCGGGGGCACCCTCTTGCCAGCTCAAGCCTGGAGGGCCTCGCCACTTCCCCTGAGGACACTCCACTCCAAAGCTGGACTCATTTTTAGGGTCCAACTATCCTTGCAAAAGAGTCACCAGGAGGCTTGTTAGGAGAACAGATGACACGTCCCCCGCCCTCCAGGATTCCGATGAAGACTGAGGTAGGGCCCAGGGTGATTCCAGATCACCCAAGGTATTCTGCATGTGTTCTGCCCACCTGCTCTGGAGACGCTCCCTGCCCACCCAGCTGCTCCGGCTCGTCCTGGCAGGACCCAGGTGGGTGCTCCCCGTCCCTGGTTCCCCTTCTGCCTCATTCACCCACAGACCTGGCAGCAGCGCCCATGTTGGAAAAACCCCTCTTCAGTCTGGGGCCCCTCTGAAGCTCCCTCTCTCCCTTCCGCTCCCAGTTAGGCGTCTAGAAAGAGTTGTCCACACTTGACCGTCCACCCTCACCTCCAGCGAGCCCCCTGCCTCCATCACAACTGCCCCCAGGGGTCTAAAATCATCCTCCAGTCCATCCCATGGCGCTGCTCAGTCCCGGCCCATCCTCTCCATCCTGGAATCCTGCGGTGGCCTCCTAACCAGCCTCCCTGCCTGCCGCTCCCTGCACACTGGTGCCAAGGCTGGTTCCAAAATGTGAATCCTCTCATGTCACTCCTATGCTATAGAGCCCACCGTGGCTCCCCAGAGCTTTCAAGATCAAATCCTTGGCTCAACCCCAGGCTCTGCTATCCCGCCTCAGTTCGCCCCTCTGAATTCTTGAGTCATCCTCTCGAGCTCTGTTCTAACACTCACTCGGCTTGCTGGGTCCTAGCGTGCCTCATTCTTCCGGGACTGTGCCTTTGCACGTGCTCTTCCCTGCCTGGAATATCCTTCCCGGATATTCCCACCTGGACCACCTCTGAACCCCAGCTCAAGTCTCACAGCCTCCAGGCAGCTTGCCTTGACTTGCCCAGTCCACGCTCCCCTCCGGCCCCTTCCCACTGGATCATCCCCACTGCTCCTGGGGTCAGGAGCCAGGTCCTTCACCCCTGTGGCCCCAGCATAGTGCTGGCACATGGTTGGAGCCCAAGGCTTTATTCAGTGGCTCAAAGAATGCAAAGGAAGGGAGTGTCGCACTGGACGGGGCCTTGGCAGACAGGGAGCTGGGAGACAGGAGTCTATGCCACCTCCACTCCTAACCCCCAGTGCCACTATGAGGATGTCTTAACCGCCTCTCTGAGCCTCAGTTTCCTCCTAAGGTTCCAAAAGGAGACGATTGCTCCTCACATCCCTCTGACCTGAGGGTCCCCAAATGATTGCCTTCCTGGCATTTCTTCTGGGACCTGGGCAGCTGCCCTGCAGGCCCCAGCCCTCAGTGGCCACGCCCACTGCCACTGAGCCCACCTTGGCCTTCTGGACACTTGTCAAACAGGCTGAGCAGGAAGCAGGGGCTGCTCCAGTCAAGGGCATGAGGCTGGTGCCTGGGTCCCATTCAAACTCCAGCAGCGGGGCTTGGATCAGGCAGCTTTATTCCAAAGGGCAGCTGAGCTCACCTCCCAGTGAGGGTCTGGGCTGTGAGGGCCCAGGTGGCAGGCAGGGGTGGGGCAAGGACCCTGGAGTCAGGACTTCCCCACCTTTTGGCTTACAGTGGCAGCAGGCCCACCTGGCAGTCTCCAGGGCTCTGAGGGTCCCCTCCGATGGGAGCACCTTCCATTCCCAGATCCCAAGTTAGACCAGGGGCTTCCGAAGCTGGAATCTGCTCTCTGGAGGCAAGGCTGCCCAAACAGCCTCTGTACAGAGTGGGGCGCACCTCAGACACTCCTCGGGATGTAGAACCAGCATTCTTGCTGCTGAGCCACTGCCTTGCATTAGGCAGCAGTGGAGGAAGGGGACGGAGGAGAGAGAATTGGGAGGCAGAAGGGCTGGGTGTGGGCCTGGGTCCTCAGGGGACGTCTTGACCCCCAGCTGCTGGCACTTCTCCATCCTCCTGCCATCACTGGAGCAGACATCAGGGACGAGACAAGATGCCACCTCCTGCCACCACAGGGCCTGCTCTCTCCCCCACCCCCCGCCAGAATACTTGTCCCCCTGCTTGGCAGTTGCCCTGGGCTCTCTGAGTCCAGGAGGTGGGCCCTGCTTTGCAGGGGGGCAGTTCCTCAGGTCACCACTTGCTGGATCCAGCTGATCACACCTGTGATGCGGGTGTAGACGCCGAAGTAGTTAGGCCGGCCACAGCCCAGGCCCCAGCTGACCAGCCCCGCCAGGAACCAGCGGCCACTGAGTGCCTTGCACACCAGCGGACCACCTGAGTCACCCTGAAAGGGGGAAAGGAGAAAGGACTGAAGCAGGGTAAGGGCACCCCCTTTTCCAGGTGAAGAGCCATAGGGATTAAGTCCTGACTGTTGGGAATTGACTGGGTGCCAGAGTCACGTTCAGTCTTAAAGCTCTGCTTTCCCCTCGCCTGCTAAATGGAGAGAGCCCAAGCCAGCCCTCCCCGGCCTCCAGCCAGCCTGGGACCTCCTGGAACTGTGGCTGTGTCCCCACGCCCCCACTCTGCCTCCGCCTCCCTTCTGTGGCTGACACCCCTTTCTTCTTCCATGCATCCACCTCACTGTGGGACCCTGGGCCTAGTGCCTTGTGGTGGGCAAGGAGCAGAACTGGGTTTGAGCCTAACACCTGCCCATCACAGCATCTCTTCTGATCTGTGGCTCTGCAACCTTGGGCAAGCTCCTCAACCTTTCTAAGCCCCAGTCTCCTCTTCTGTAAAGTAGGGGTGGCCATCACCACCTTGCTGGGAGGATGGGAGGCTTCAGCAGGCTGATGTGAGCAAAGGGCCAGACCCTGGTGATGTGGGCAGCATCCTTTCTCCCTCCTCTCTCCCTCCCATGCCCGGGGGACTCACCTGACAGGCATCCTTCTTGCCCTTGCGGTAGCCGGCACACAGCATGCGTGGCGTCACCTGGTAGCGATAGACCTCGCTGCACAGGTCCTGTGGGATCAACTGCACATCCACTTTCTGCAGAGCGTTGCTGATGGGGCCTGTCCGTGGTCAAGGGCAGAAGTGAGATCTCAGGAGCCTGGAGCCCCTGTTCTCTATTCTCCCTAACATTATTCCCTTTGCATCTCAGGAGCCTACTTCTCTCCTGCTCTGCCCACCCTTACCCCTGCTAGGGTCGCACCTGCCCCTCTGCCTCCCTGTCACTTTATTCTAGCTCTTTCTCTGTGGGGTTCATGGTGACAGCCCCCGACCAAAGCCCATGTGGAGGGCCGGGCACGGTGGCTCATGCCTGTAATCCCAGCACTTTGGGAGGCTGAGGCGGACGGAACACCTGAGGTCAAGAGTTTGAGACCAGCTTGACCAACATGGAGAAACCCTGTCTGTACTAAAAATACAAAATTAGCTGGGTGTGGTGGCACATGCCTGTAATCCCAGTTACTCAGGAGGCTGAGGCAGGAGAACCGCTTGAACCCGGGAGGAGGGGGATCCGAGCCGAGATCGCGCCATTGCACTCCAGCCTGGGCAACAAGAGCGAAACTCTGTCTCAAAAAAACAAAAAAAAGAAAAAAGAAAAAAGCCCGTGTGGATGAGTGTCTTCCTCCAGCTTCTTGTCCCCCACCTCTGTCTGCTGAGGCACCTCTGGGCTCTGGCTGGCTCCTCGCTGCTCTGTTACAGCACCTGCAGATGTCTCCGAAGCCCACATCTGATCCCTTCATGGTTTCCTTAGAACTCTGCAGTGCCCCAACTCTGCAGTCTGCCCTAGCGCTTCTCCACGAGGGCTGCATATCACAGTCCCCCGGGGAGCCTTGATACGCAGTTTTTCTTGAAACTCCCCGTATGGTTCTAAGGTGCAGGTAGGAGGGAGAACTCCTGGCCTAAGATCCTTATGCTGGCCGGCAAGGCCCTGTCTGCCATTCTGGTTGCTCCTCGCCCAAGGCCCTGTCTGCCATTCTGGTTGCTCCTCGCCCAGGCACGCCTGCCCCCCACCTCAGCCCCTCTGGCAGGCTGCGGATGTTCTCACATCTTCCTGTCTTGGCACCTGTGTCTTCACCTGAATGTCTTTCCCCTTTGTCTGAATGTTGCCAACTCATCTTCCAGGCCTCAGCTTAAACAACCCTCCCCTGGAAGCCTCCCCTGACCCTAGCTGGGCAGGAGCCTCCTCTGTGTCTCCACTGTTCCTGCATCTCCCCATCCATGTCAGCTCTTACCACTGTCTGTCTCCCCCGAGAATGTTCTCTCTTCATCCTTATGTACCCTTCCCCTAACCCCACGCCTGGTACGTACTTGGTGCTCAGAAAGTGTCATTGAGTGACTGAATGAGTGAAGGAATAGTGAATGAACCAGCCTTTGCTTTGCCATGACCACTGCCATCCCCTTGGGTAAGTCACTGTTCCTCTGAGCCTCAGTTTCCCCATCCTTAAAATATCTCTGCGGCCCCGCCTGCTTCCAGATTGTAAGTCACTGTACACATTTTTGAAGCCACCAACACTAACGCTGCAGGGCATGTCTGTAGGTTTGCCAGCTGGGTCTGTGTCCCCAAAACTGTGCGGTGGCCGCCAGGGACTCTGGTCAGTGAACGTAGAAAGGGGAGAGACCCTGTTTCTGAGAGCAGTAGCAGGAAGAGCAGGGGCTCTGGAGGCAGCCAGCCCTGGGTTCTAATCTTTGCTCCAGTCCTCTCTGGCTGTGTGACTTACAGCAACATGTCTCTGAGCCTTGGTTTCTCCATCCATAAAATAGGGCCACAGCATCCGCCCGTAGGGCTGTTGGGTGGATTATATGAAGTCAAGTTCCCCTAAAATCCAGCCTGGATGTGGAAAGTGCTAGTAATTAAGAGCCTTCCACCCTTGCAGCCCAAGGAACAGCAGGTGGAGCTTGCACGTGGGCAGTGGCGTCCCAGACCTGCCCCTTTGCCCCACACATAACGCCCTTCCAGAAGGAAGGGAAGAGCTAGGAGGGGAGGGGCAGGGGCCTACAGGCCGCATTAAATGGTGGTTTTCTACCGTAAAATTCAGCCCAATTTGAATCCCAGCACTAGAGGGCCTATGGGGTGGAGCCCCGGGACCCCCAGCCCCGCCCTTCTCCAGGCCAGGTGTTACGGCGCAGATCCGCACGGTCTCCCTCCGCCTCCCGCCGCAAGTCCCCGCTGCTCACCGCCCTCGCGCAAGGCGCCCCAGCCCGTAATCCAGCAGTGCAGGCCGGGCTCGAAGAAGTGGGAGCGCGCGGGCAGGCAGACGGGGCGCACGGCGGCCGAGCGCACCACCGGGTGGTCGAGCTGCAGCAGCGCCACGTCGTAGTCATGGCTGTCCTCTTCGTGGTACGGGTGCAGGAGCAGGCGGCTCACCTTGAAGGACACCTCTCCAGGCCAGCGCGAGTTCTGCCACACCTTGCCCAGGAACACGGTCCACAGCACCGTGGAGGCCATGCTGGGGTGGGGTGGGGTGGGGTGGGGTGGGGTGAGGTGAGGTGGGAGGAAGCTGCCTCTCCCCATCCAGGGACCCTCAAGATAGCCAGATCCCCGCCCGGGACAGTGCCCTCCACACCCAGCCCTCCCTTCCCTCCCTGAAGGTCGCCTAGCTGGTGGTACAGCGTTCAGCCTTCACCCACTCGGCCTGCCTGGGTTCCACGCCCCAGCTTCATCCCTCCCTAGACATGGGTGTGCCTCTCTAAGCCTCTGCCACCTCATCTGCAAATGGGAATGGCATTTTCTACTCGAATGTTCTTGAGAGAATCCAATAAGACCGTGTATCTAAAAAATGTAGCACAGTGCCAGGCCCCCGACACAGATTTCTTTTTTCCTGTGTGCTTTACAGACCCAGGCTGCTCTGAATTCCCTGAGGCTGGTGGGTCCTAGTGGGGAGCGGGTGGGAGTTGAGCGTGGAGGAATTGGACTGCGGCAGTCAGCTGCCTGGGTGGCAGATGGGCAGCCTTCGGGTCTCTACCCTCTACCTGAGGGCAGTGGGGAGCCTGAGATGGGGTTAAAGAGAGCTAGGTGGTCAGAGCGCCCTGCGTCCCAGAGAGGATACAAAAGGGGATCCCTGTGCAGGGCCTGGGGGCGGGATCTGGAGCCCAGATCTGTCTGGGGGTGGATTGGGGGAGGTTTCAGCCCACCAAGCAGATGGGAAAGATGGCCATGAGGCCTGATGAGATGTCCCCTGGGGGCTCCCCAGCCCCACCTGCTACCTCGTGTCACACCTCGGGGAGTGTCATAGCTTATGACCAGGTTGGGCAGTTCTGTCCTTTACTGAATCCCCAGCATCTAGCACAGCCCTGGCACATAGTAGGAGCACAAGTGTTGCTGAATGAGTGAATGAGATGAATGAATGAATTACTGGCCCAACTTAAAGCAAGATACCAAAAGTAGATGGCAGAGAGGTGGAACAATGTGTCCGGGGACCCAGAAGGTCCTGGTGGAGCCAGGACTAGAACTCACATCACAGTAGCCTGTCTGGGGGGTCCACCACCCTTCCCTCTATCTGCAAAGAGCTCAGACACAGTGCACCTCCCACCGGGCCTTCCCTGCCCTTGTCTCTTACTGCCTAGGCCCCCACACCCTCCCGCTCACCTGTCCTCCTGGAAGCAGTGGGCAGCTGTTATCACCCAGCGGTCAGCGATGAGGGCCCCCCCACAGATGTGTCGACCCCGAACCTGGAGGCTGGCCTGCCATGGCCACTCACCCTCGGAGGACACAGCTCCACCAACAATGCGGCTGGAGGGGCCCTGGAGGCCACAGTCTGGGGATGGGGGCAGGTGGTGGGGTGGACAGAGGAGGAGGGGAAGGGGAGAAGCAGACAGAGAGGAAGGGCAAAGGAAAGAGATGGAGAGACAGAGAACAGGAGAATGATGGAGGGGGAGAGACCATCAGGACCCAGGCAAGGGGGCAGAGGATGAGATAGAGAGAGACCAGGGGACAACAGTGAGATTTCCCTCCAGCTTCCTGCTGTGGGCACCCCCTCCCTCCCAAGCTCCAGGGCCCCGGCAGCCAGGCAGGGCTCACCACAGTGCTCCTCATCCGAGCCGTCCCTGCAGTCGGGCCGCCCATCACACTGCGGGTTGGGCTTCTTCACGCAGCTCCGGTCCTCACACTGGAAGGTGAATGTCCCACATGGCACCCCTGGGACAGAGGGGATGGGGGCAGGGCACAGAAGGTGGGTCTCTGAGCCCCAAGGAAACCTTCCAAAGTGGGGTGCAGGAACGATGGAGCCAGAAGAGCCAGGAGGTGACTAGAGAGTCTTTTCCTGAGTCTCCTTTAGGGTCTCCTAAAAGCAGGCCATGTCCCCCCGCCCCCCACAGCCCCTCCACTCAGACTGGCCTATTGAGCACAAAGTGGTGTCTCCATTCTCAGACTGGAGATCCTGACCACAAGATCATGCCTCCCCCTCCAGTGTGGAACTTGAAGGCAGAACTGTGCCTCCACTTTTAGACCAGGGTCCGCACCTAGCCTGGCAATCTCCCAGGCTCTGGCCCTGCCCGGTTGTCCACATTTTCCTCCCTGCTCTTCACTGTAAAGAACTTTCCACTCCACCACTTGGTCTTTGCCTCTCTCCTTTCCTCCTGCCTATTTAAGTTTTAGCTCTCACCAAGGGCCAAACACCTACCTCCTCCAGGAAGCTTTTCATGTCTGACCTCCTCCCTGCCCTCCAATCTTCCTACAAGGCAGGAGAGTCACCCATCATATCCTCCTACTAACAGATGAGCCTTGGAAGGCAGGGCCTGCATCTCTGCTGTTTTATTCTCACTTCCTTACTGCACCTTGCCTATCGCTGGGTAGCCTGCAAGTGTTGGTCAGTTGGTCAGTTGGATGGGTAGATGGATGGATGGATAAATAGACCCAGACAGAAGACTGAGCAGACAAGCCAATGGGTGGAGTGGTGGTCCATTAGGGAGACTGACAGACAGCTAGAAGGTTGGATAAACGTGTGGATATAAGGACCAGTGGACAGACAGGGGGCTAGGGAGATCAGTGGATGGGTGGATGGATGGGTGGATGGATGGGTAGATGGATGGATGGATGATGGATGGGTGGATGATGGATGGATGATGGATGGATGATGGATGGATGGATGGATGGATGATGGATGGGTGCATGGATGGATGGATGGCTGACGGATGAATGGATGGATGGTGGATGGATGGATGATGGATGGTTGGATGGATGATGGATGGATGGATGATGGACAGATGATGGATGGACGGATGATGGATGGATGATGGATGGATGGATGATGGGTGAATGGATGGATGATGGATGAACGGATGATGGATGGATGGATGATGGATGAATGGATGGATGGATGATGGATGGATGGATGGATGATGGATGGATGGATGATGGATGGATGGATGATGGATGGTTGCATGGATGGATGGATGATGGATGGATGGATGATGGATGGATGGATGATGGATGAATGGATGGATGATGGATGGATGGATGGATGATGGATGGGTGCATGGATGGATGGATGATGGATCGATGGATGATGGATGGATGGATGATGGATTGATGGATTGATGGATGATGGATGGATGGATGATGGATGGATGGATGGATGGATGGATGGATGATGGATGATGGATGGATAGACGATGGACAGATGGATGATGGATGAATGGATGGATGATGGATGAATGGATGGATGATGGATGGATGGATGGATGATGGATGGATGGATGATGGATGGATGGATGGATGATGGACGATGGATGGATGGATGATGGACGGATGGATGATGGATGGATGGATGATGGATGGATGGATGATGGATGGATGGGTGATGGACGGATGGATGATGGATGGATGATGGATGGATGGATGATGGACGGATGGATGGATGGATAGATGGATGATGGATGGATGGATGATGGACGGATGGATGATGGATGGATGGATGGATGATGGATGGATGGATAGACGGATGATGGATGGATGGATGGATGATGGATGGATGATGCATGGATGATGGATGGATGAATGGATGGATGGATAGATGGATGATGTATGGATGGATGATGGACAGATGGATGATCGATGGGTGGATGACGGATGGGTGGAAGGATGATGGATGGATAGATGGATGATGGATGGATGATGGATGGATGGATGGATGATGGACGGATGGACGATGGGTGGATGGATGGATGATGGATGGATGGATGGATGGATAGACGGATGATGGATGGATGGATGATGGACGGATGGATGATGGATGGGTGGATGGGTGGGTGGGTAGATGGGTGGGTGGATGGATGGATGGATGGATGGATGGATGGAACAGTGGCCATATAGACCAGTAGTCAGCCAAACCAATAAATGGGTAGATTGACAGTTTGATGATAGGGAGATTGATGGTTGCACAGGTCAGTAGATGCATAGATAAATGGGTAGCTGTATGAATCAATGGACAGACGGTGATTGGAGACCAGAAGATGGATGGATGGATGGATGGATGGATGGATGGATGGATGGATGGATGAATGGACAGACATACAGATGTAAATACAGAGGGGTTGGTGGGTGTTGAGAGGAGAAGCTAGAAACTTTTGCTGAAGCATGTAGCAGGCCTAGACTGCCTTTGGTGTCCCTCCAGACACTCGGCTAGGCCTGCCCTACCTTCCTGGCACTGCTCTTCGTCGCTGCCGTTGAGACAATCAGGCTGCCCATCACAGACCTTGGGCAGTGAGATGCATGTGCTGTCCTCTTTGCACTGGAATGTGGCTCTGCAAACTGTGTGGGGACACAGAGAGGGGACAGGTGGGAGGAAGCCAGAGGAGCCAGCCGGGGCTTGGCGATGCCTGTAGAAGGTGTGCTGTATTGCACGTTACCAATCACAAATCTCTTTCTCTGCTACTTTATTTTTATGTCTCGCTCTTGTCACGAAGGCTGGAGTGCGATGGCATGATCTCACTGCAACCTCCCAGGTCCAAGCGATTCTCCTGCCTCAGACTCCCGAGTAGCTGAGATTAATTACAGGCTCCTGCTACCACGCCCAGCTAATTATTGTATTTTTAGTAGAGACGGGGTTTCACCATGTTGGCCAGGCTGATCTTGAACTCCTGACCTCAGGTGATCCGCTCGACTCCGCCTCCCAAAGTGCTAGGATTACAGGCATGAGCCACTGCGCCCGGCCTCTTTCTCTGCTATTTTACACCCAAAGTTTCACAGCAACCCTGTGAGATACCCCATTTCACTGGTGGAAACAGATGAGGTGACTTGTCCAAGGTCACTTGGCTGAGCCAGAACTTGAAGCCAGATGTTCAGTTTCTGAATATGAGGTACCTCCCCCAGCACCGTGGCAGGATCATCCCCCCACCATGAACATCTCGCTTCCCTCTTCCCACATATTTAAACCTTTGACAGGGCAGAGGAGGGGGACATCTCCCTCACCCATTCTGTTCCTTCCTGGAAGGCTGGCTGGGACAGGGGCTGGGGGTGATGGCCCTGAGCTGGAAGTCAGGAGACCTGGCTCCCCACTTCTCCCTGCCACTGTCCCACGAGGTGGTCTCGGGGAGGCTGCATTGCTGGTCTGTCTCATTTTGCCACCCCGGCACAGTGAGAGAACCCCACTTCCTGGGTGCTCATAATGGAAGCTGCATGTAGAAGTGGGGTCTCCACTCAGCTCAGAGCAGGAAAGGTGAGGAAGGAGAAGGGATGGGCAGGGAGAGGAGGGATGCGCGGGCGGGTTACTCACCGCAGTTTCTCTCATCCAGGCCGTTGGGGCAGTCCTTGACCCCATCACAGGCAGGGACACAGAGTCCATTCACAGAACAGAGGAACTCTCCAGGGCAGGCTGCAAAACCACAGGGGACCGTGGAGGCAGGCAGGGCGCCATTAGGCCATGCGTAGCCGCGAAGGCGCACAAAGACACGCATGCACCTGTTCACTCACACGCGCATGGACAGGCACCCACAGACGTGGTCCTGGGCACCTGTGTACACAGTCCAAGCAGACATACATATCCAGACACACACACAGAATACACAACACACACGTGGATATGTATGAGTGTGTATTCCTGCAAACCCTTGTGGCTGCCTTGCACACGTGGGCACACAAAGCTGCATAAATTTGTGCAAGCACATACACACACACACACACTCTCTCTCTCCTTTTGTTCAGCCTCATAAGCAGCTGCCCACAGCCCCCTTGGTGGTTCCAGGGATGGCCAAGAGGCAGCGAGTCACTGCAGGGGGTTCCCCCGGCTGCCCATACTCACGGTCCGACTGGTTGTACAAGCCATAGTGCACCCGCACACCGGGCCCGGTGAGGGAGATCTGGGAGGTGAAGTTGATGGTGATCCCGGCCGTGGCCACCACGGGGATCCTCTCGGCGTAGGGCTGCAGGATGCGCAAGCCACACAGCCTGGGGGGAGTCAGAGACGACTCAGGGCTGCACTGGCTGGTCTCCTGGGTCCCGTGCACAGACAGAGCAAGGACAGGCAGCCAGAGGGGCAGGGGGAGCTGCACGCCCGCTGTGCCTCCTCTGCCCTGATTTCTCCCTTAGATGAGTGCACCCCCAGAGTCATCTTCTAGAAACTAGCCTGGCTATGCCACTGCCCTGCTCAAAAATCTTCAATGGCTCCCCATTGCCTGCCAGATAAAAAACTCAATTCTAGTCACAGTCACCTGTGAACTGTGAGGTTCTAGCAAGTCAGGGTCCTTCTTTGAGCCTCACCTTCCTCCCTTATAAAACAAGAAAAATTGGCTGGGCGCAGTGGCTCACACCTATAATCCCAGCACTTTGGGAGGCTGAGGTGGGTGGATCACCTGAAGTCGGGAGTTCGAGACCAGACTGACCAACATGGAGAAACCCCGTTGCTACTAAAAATACAAAATTAGCCAGGCATGGTGGCACATGCTTGTAATCCCAGCTACTCGGGAGGCTGAAGCAGGAGAATCGCTTGAACCCAGGAAGCAGAGGTTGCGGTGAGCCGAGATCGTGCCATTGCACTCCAGCCTGGGCAATAAGAACGAAAGTACGTCAAAAAAAGAAAGAAAGAGACAGAAGGTAGGAAGGAAGGAGGGAGGGAAAGAAGGAAGGAAGGGAGGGAGGGAAAAAGAAAGAAAGAAAGAGAAAGAAAGGAAGAAAGAAAGAAAGAAGAAAGAGAAAGAGAAAGAAAGAAAGGGAGAGAGGGAGGGAAAGAAAAAAGAAAAGAAAAGAAAGAAAGAGAAAGAAAGAAAGGAAAAATTATTTCTGTTGATCTTGAATCTGACAAAAGGCTTCAATGTGTCAGTTGAGGCAAAAGCCCTTGACTGCCCCACTGTCCACAGATGTGCACGGTCATCTGCCTTGAGCTTGGTGTGGGACGAGGGGGCAGCAGTGCTCCCCATTTAGGCACCAACCCTCCTGCCTCCCTGTGACACTGTGGGCTTGAGGGAAGGACCAGTCCTTCTCCCATGACCAGTAGCTTAGTGCTGATGGGCAGCACCTTCTCTGTGCATGGCCACACGGGGTGGGACCACCCCCAGCTGTGGGAGCACCCTCACATCCCTGCTGGACAACACCGCCCCTGCACCCCTGCCATACCACCACCAAGAAGATACCGTTGTTCAAACAGAGCAGGTGGGGGAATCTCCAGAGAGGCTGAGTCTTTCTCTCCTACCAGAGAACAGGTAGGAGCCCTCCCATCTCCAGGGCATGGGCCCAGGGGTTCCTCCTGCAGAGAGTCCGGTGCACCTCACCCCACAGAGCAAGTGGGCAGCGGCATGACTTCACAGAGTGGGTGCAGCCACTCCCCCAGGACAGTGGGACCCTCCCTCCACAGCAGCCGGGGGTTCCTTTTCATCCCAGGTGGGACACCCTTGCAGAACAGATGGGGACAGCTTCATCAGCTCATAGAAATGCCCTCCACAGAGCAAATCAGAGTGCTTTGCAGATGGGGGAAACACACTCAGGGTGCAGGTTGAAAATCTGCAGGGAGAGCTGAAAATGCCCCTGGCAGAGAAAGCAGATGGAAATCCAGAGAGCATCAGGAATGCCCCTGAAGGCCAGTGGGGACATCCCACAGCAAATCCAACACCCTGCGGAGCCGGCCATGATTCCCAAGGGCCAGGCACTTCCCCAGAACTTCTAGAATGTGGTAAGCACTTAACCGTTCAATAAGTTAATCAATTCCTTAGCCACCGAACAGCTGAAGATGAGCTTTGAGGCTGTTTTAACATCTCCAGGTGTGTGGCTGGGGCTGAGCCTCATTGGCTATGGCATCACAAGGCCTCATTGCACGGGGATTCTGAGGTTCAAGCAGCACCTCCACCCAGGGAGGGAGGAATTGCTCTCATCCCATTTTACAGATGAGGCTCAAGAGTGCAGGAGCCAAGGTGGAGCCAGAATCTTGCCTCAGGACCCAGAAGAGCTCACCTAGCTTGCTTGAGGGGAGGGCTCCGAATTCCCACTGCAACAGGAGCTCTGAGGTCTGAGCCCCCTACATGCCCCATGTCCTCCACACGCCTGGCCTAGACTCTGGCACCCCCCTAAGTCTATCTGGCCACAGTGACCACGATCTTACCCTTACACCAACCAGCAGTTCTCAAAGCACAGTCAGGGGACCCCTGGGGGTCCAAAAGTCATGTTTATAGTAACACTCAGATATCATTTGCCTTTTTTGCCCTCATTCTCTCATAAGGTGACAGGCGAGTTTTCCAGAGACTGATGTGTGACATCGGGACTGATTGAACTCGGAGGCAGATTCGAAGGTCCCGCCTGTAGTCTGTGAAGCCAGTTGTTAAAGAAATGTACAAAAATGTAAAATGACAGCACTCTTGTCACTAAATGTTTTTACTTTTGGAGGATGCAACTAATTTTCATAGAATGTTATTTATATTCAAATGTGTAATGGGCTTATAATTATATTAAAAGAATTAATAAACATTTTAAAATTTTGTTTCAATTTCTAATGCTGCAAGTATAGATCTATAACCTGTATAAGCAAAAACTCTTTAGGGTACTCAGTCATTTTGCGGAGAGTGACTGGGTCCTGAGGCAGAACAGGTTGGGAGCCGCCACCCCCGACCATGGTTCCCCCAGCCCAGCAGGGCCGGTGGGGGACGAGGCACCGCCAGGGGGCGCCCCTGAGCAAGCCTGGCCCTCTTGCTCTTGTAAAACCCAGGAAACGCAGGTTTTGGTGTCTGTTTGTCTATAAAGTTATCATGGATTGTTTTCCTCACAGAAGGACCTCAGGAAGTAGACAGGGGAGCCAGGGGTTGGGAAGGACTAGTGCGGGGAATGAGGAGTCAAGCGCATCCCATGGGCCTTGGGGTGTCCCTTCCCACAGTCACAGGGAGATTGTGGGGAGACAGAGAAGGAACCCAAGCCGGGGTTGGAGGGGAGTGGAACGTTTCACCCTAGAAGCAACTGCGTTGAGGACCTGTAGTGTCACCCAAGCCTTGGGCAGGGGCTGTAAGGCAAAGACACCTGTGCCTGCTACAGGAAGTTCTCTCAACCTCCAGGGAGAGTCCTAGAACCAGTCTGTAGCTGGCAGCAACCTTTCCCCAGGGCCTCACCGTGTACCCGGGAACCTGTCTGTCTGGGCAGTGTTTGGTTCTCACTCTGGAGGCCTGGAGCACGGGTAGAGGTGGTGGAATCCCTGGAACAAGCGTCTGCTTAGAAAGCGCCAGAGAGGAATTCAAGGCAGCGGCTGAAATCTAGTGGCCCAAGCGGAGTCACTCAGCGTAAAGACAATCTGTTTATGCACCATGTAGAAATTGCTTCATTGAGTCGCGAGCTAATTTCACATAATAATCCAGATTCCTGCTCCTTTAGAAGGAGAAGAGGAAGAGGAAGAGGAAGAGGAAGGAGGAGGCGGAGGAGAAGAAGAAGAAAAGATGAAGAGGAAGAAAGGAGAAAGAGAATGAGGAGAAGGAGGAGGAGAAGAAGAAGGAGGAGGAGGAAGAGGAGAAGGAGAAGAAGAAGAAAGAGGAGGAGGAGAAGGAAGAGAAGGAGAAGAAGGAGAAGAGGAAGGGAGAAGAAGGGAAAAGGAGAATAAGGAAGAAGAAAGAAGAAAGAGAAAGAAGAGGAAGAAGGAGAAGGAGAAGGAGAAAAAGAGAAAGAAAGAAAGAAAAAGAAAGAAAGAAAGAAAGAAAGAAAGAAAGAAAGAAAGAAAGAGAAAGAGAGAAAGAAAGAAAAGCCCCGAAAACACCACTGGACTACCCTACCCCCCATCATAGACTCTAGCCCTGGCCTGGCCCCTTGGCCCATCTGAGTTTTCTGTTTCTGCTGCAGAACTCTCTGGGGGAGGGTGCACATTCTCTGGCTCTCCAGTGCCTCCCGTCCAACAAGTGCTCCCCTCTAGCCCTCTCCAAGAAGCACCAGAAGCCTGACTGCTGCGATGCCTGCCAGTTCATCTTGGCTACAAAGTACTGAGTGTCTGAAGGCACATTTTTGCACCGTGTGGCCTGCCTTGCTTCCTCACCTCTCTGGATATGGGGAATATTTCCTTCTTGCCTCATCCAGGAGGTAGACAGGGACCCTGTCAGGATGTACTGCCTGGAGGGATAGATGCATGGATGGATGGATGGATGGATGGAAGGGTGGGGAGAACACAAGAAGGAAGAAGGAAAGAAGGGTGCGTGGGTGGATGAATGCACACCCCCGTGCCCTTACCTACAGACAGATTAAAGGGGAAGGAGGGTCACAGAAGGCAAGTGCTGAAGAGGGGAGGAGAGCAGCACCTGGCATTGCCAGAGCTCTAGACCTGGGGCTGCAGAGCTGAATTGGCAGCCTGGCTTTGCCCCAGGAACAAGCTGTGTGACCTTGGGTCACCCTCAGCAAGCTTTAGTTTTCACATTTGTAAAACAGGGGTGATCGTATCTCCCTTGTGGCATGGTTTAAGGCATGCATAGGAAATGACTTCTTTGAAGCACTTGCTGACGTCAGGCTGTGAGCTCATGGAGGAAGCAGCTTGCACTCTCCTGCACGGCCAGCCCAGCTCAGGTCAGCCACACTGAAGTTCCTACTAAGTGTCTGTGGCTGCCGCCTGTGCTGGCCACTAGCGCTCCGGAGAACACAAGGGCCACCCCATAGCCAGGCCAGGCCGGGTCGGGGGTGGCTCCAGCTGGCCTAGGGAACCCATGGTTCTGCCTGTCCCCACTGGCTGGGAGTGAGTGGAAATGGTGGGGCGAATCACAAGAGAAGTGATGTCACAGGAGAGGAAGCTGGCAGGAGGCAGGTTCCCGGAAAGGGGGAAGCCCGTGCTTCGGTGGCAGCCCGTGAGAGTGGCTTCTGCGAAATGGAGCAGCCATGGCCAGATCTCACGGGCCAAGTCCCTCTACCACCCCCAGGCCACTCAAGGGCCTGAGGCCTCAGCTGGGCTCAAGTGGGCACCGGGAGAAGCTAGGTAGAAAGCAGGCAGGTCAGGGGTGAAGGAGGCACCACAGTCTCAGAGGAGTCAGGTGAAGTGCCTAAGGATGCTTAGTCCATGGGGGGCCCACCAGGCCAGCCTTTCCTCATCACTACGCTGGCACTTGAGGGTTAAGATACCCTCTCCCCTGACCCGCCCTCTCCATCAATGGGCATTCTGGGCCAAAGGGCTGTACCTCCCCCTCCCTAAAGTGCCTTGTCTGAAAATCTGCTCTTCCCTAGACCTCTCATGTCTTTGCCACCCACACAAGCAGATTTCCAACAAATGCTCATTCTAAGAATTTCTCAGCATCTACATGGGATGATCACTATCGCCCATGATCATAACTAGAGGGCACAGTGGCCCAGTGCGGATGGTTTGCAGGCGCCACCTCTGCCTTCCCTTCCACATTCATTCACACAGGAGGAGTCTGCGGGGAGGGGACAAGAGTCTGCCCCTGGGGACCCTGGACCCTTAATGAAAGTCTGAGAAGAAAGGGCTGGGACTTCCCAGGCCGCTCTGGAACTGGTGGGACAGCCACAGAAACTGTCGATCCCCCCACCCAGATGCCAGTGGGTTGGCTGGGGATGCCTTGGCTGAGGGAGTCACCAGCTGGCATGGGCCGCTAGAGGCTCAGAGGGAAGAATCGCACACGTGGACCACACACACATGCACGTACACGTGCACAGACATGCATGGATGTACGCACGCACACAGACATGCATCTGTGCACCCACGTGCACTCCAGATCAGGCTGCCTGGCCTTAACTCTGGCTCAAAGAGCTGGGTGACTTTGTGCAAATTACTTCATCTCTCTGTGTCTTGGGTGTCTCACTGGTCTGTGAAGGCAGTACAGGCACCTGCTTCCTCGCTGGGTTGTTGAGGCTGAAAGAGCCAGCACCATAAACCCCTCAGCTTGTGCCTGCCCAGAGCAGAGTGAGAGCCGGTGATGAACGCAGGTTTGTTGCACTTGACCTAAGCCCGCGTGTGCAATGTTCTCCACGCGTTGTCTCACTTAGTCTTCCCAGGGTGGGGGTCTCTTTCACGCCCTTTTTTCAGATGAGTTACCTGAGGTTGGGAGATGTAAGTCCTCGCCCAGGTAGGAAGCAGAGGAGACAGGTGCTGAGCCCTGGCCTGTCTGGCTTCGACACTTAAGCGCTTTCCACCTCACCAGCCTGACTTGGAATGGCGTTTGGCCAGGAATTAATAAACACAACTTGTATGGGAGACAATAGCTTCCTGATGGGTAAGCAATCAAAGATTGGGGCCCTGGGCTGGCCTGAACCCCTCGTTTCACAGACAAGGAAGGGGGTGCATCTAGGGATCCATGCAAACCCTGATGCCAGCCCCTGCTGAGCACTTCCACCCCCGTGTGGCGAGGGAGGACTGAACAGAGAGAGGGGGAGCTATGGGGGCACAGGGAGCTGTCAGGCCTCATCCTCACCACCCAGCCACCGCTTGGCTACACCCTGAAGCCCATCTCCACCACTGAAAGGCAGAAAAGACAGGGACAAGAGGCCAAGTCCTTAGCCCTCGCTGGTCCCAGTTTCCCCACCTGTACCATAGGTTGGGTGCTAGGACCAGTTCAGCCCACACATTCTATAGCTCAGTGGTGCTCAGACTCTGGCGAGATCCCTCCACCCTGTTGGAAGCTGTCCTAGTGCCTCAAATTCACCATCAAGGCATCATTCCTTTGGATTAGGGAAAAGACTCTCCCATCCGTGTTCCACACTCTCTCTGTCATTACCCAAGGGTAGCTCACGAAGTCCCTGTCTCCCCAGTACCCAGACCCTTGCCCAACTGCATCAGGGAGGGAGGAGGGCCTTCCCACAGGAAGCATGGGGTGGAGCATCCTTTGGCCTGCTGTTTGTGGCTGTTGGGGGTATGGGAGAGACCCCATCTGTGGACCCATCTGCGTGCCACCTAATCCTGCTGAGCCTTGATTTCCTTCTCTGGGAAACAGGAACGGCGCCAATGACCACACAAGTTGTTGGGCCAATGCACTGAACGCCTGTCTTAGCACCTAACTCCAGGCCACCGAACCCCCCACAACCCCTGAATGCTGGGGCCCCGCCTCTGGCAAATGGAGTCGCCAAGGGGGTGAGGGATGAGACAGGGAGTGTCAGACCCAAGACTGTTCCTTCTCCTTTGTGGGCCTCCCTGAGACATAAAGTTCAGCTCTGCGGTAGGGAGGGAGGCAGGAAAACATGTTCTCATCATTCGCAGAACTGTGAATCATGGATCCATCTCAGGGTCACCCTGCGGGTTCCTGTGAGCGGGGGTGAAGCCAGCCATCCCCAGCCTAGGTGAGTAGCAAGGAGGCTTCAAGTGAGCTCCATGAGGGGTCAGGGCAGCCGTTCCCAGAGGTGCCCCCATCATGCTACAGAAGCCTTCTGCTCTCCAGACAGCACAGGCCTGACATCACTGAACCAGCATGTCACCCCAGCAGCACAGGCCTGATGTCACACTCCATCAGCATATCACCACCAAATGCAAAGCCCTGAAGGCACTGCTTCGCCATATCACCCCCAACAGCACAGGCCCAAAGTCACTCCCCATGTTACCCCCAACAGCATAGCCCTAGATCATGCCATGAGTATTTCTTCTCCTTTCTTTTAATCCTAGTCCCAGATAAATTGCAAAAAGGAGTCAAGCAAACCTTGTCATTCTTCGTCACCTTTTGTCTGGATGATCCTTTTGAATAGGATCAGCCAACAAGCAAATTACAAGTGTTGGTGATTGGGAACACACACCCCAGAAATCCAAGAATTCTAGAGCCCCAGAGCCTTCCAATTTTGGCATCTTCCAAGACTGGCATCTTAGATATTCAAACTCTGTGAAATCAAGAAATGACAAATCTTTCATACTAGACTCTGAACCCATTAGGCCCCCAGAATTCCGAGGTTGGAAGGGAGGGCAGAGGCCCAACCTGCGATGAAGGATAGAGTCTCCTCTTTCCTGACGCTGACACGATGACCGTTTTCACCCCGGATTCCCAGGGAAAGGGTCTCCCTGGCTCTGCCATCGCTGCTTCAATATTCCTCTTCTCTCTCCCCAAACCTCTGCTCCCCAACAATGGAGCCATGGGAGGGCCTCCCTCTCCCCTTGCCCACCCTCCCCACTCTAAACAATATTACCTGCACCTGAGCCTCCTTCTCTCCCTCTGGGGATGCTGGGATGATCCACACATTTGAGATATGGAACCTCTCCCGTCTTAAATGTCCCCTTCCTTGAATTTCCTAGTTCTCTTTTCTTCCCAGACAAATGAAAACCTGTCCATACACCCTGTCTCTGTTTCCCTGCCTCCTTGCCCAGCCCAGGCCTCTGAAGCTGTCGGCACCACCCATGGCTTCCTGGTGGCCAGGCCCAGTGGGCACCTACTGGCCTCATGCCATAGTGACCCTGGCAACGGTAGTCGCTTAGCCTAACCCCACTGTCTCTTGCTCACATCTCTGTAAGGACTCACTTCTTTGTCGGAAACTTAGTTACCAGAGGGAGCAAGGGCAAGAGCAGGGAAGAGGGCAAGTGCCCCGTTGGGGATTCGGGGGATCCAGGGCACCCATGATTTCCATGTTACCCTGTGCAATGGGATTGGGCCTGGCTGTGCAGCAGGGGTTCGTGATAAGGGAGAGGCACCTCTGATGGTACGCCTTGGGTTTAGAGGGAAGGCACCAAAGTGCCCATGAGTCCTTTGGCTCTGGAAACATTTTATTGAAGGATTGAGGGTGCCAGAGGGGGTTACAGCACCCAAGAAGATGAGACAATTTTGCTGTAATTAGAATAAACATCCAAGGTGTCTGATGACCAAACGTGTCTGAGACCTCTGGGGTAGCCAGAGGGGAAGCCGGGGCCAGGGCGGAGGCTGGGACGAGGACAAGGTCAAGGGCAACAGGCCTGACACCAGCCCCAGCCTCTGCTCGCTCCCCTTGCTGCCCCTCTGAGATTGGGGACTTGGGCTTCCAATGAGGGGGTCACTATTGAGGAGGGAAGAGAGGGAGGGGGAGGGAGGAAAGGAAGCCAGAGGGAGGAGAGGAAGTGGTACCTCCTGTTCTGGATCGTCCACTGGCCCTGGGTGCACGGCAAATCATACTTCTGCCTCCTCAGTGCATAGGCATCAAACCAGAGGGCCAAGCCGTAGTCCAGAGAGGGCACCTGGGAGGGAGGAGCGGGCCATCAGGTGGCCCATGGGGTGTGGCCAGGTTGGTGAACCCACCTCCCTAACAACAAAGAGAAGGAAACACAGAATCCCAGGTGGGGCTAAAGTCTGTCAGTCACTCAACAAACAGGCATTGCTGTGACCCACAGAGGGAGACCTCGCCCACAGCCCTCTCCACCCTGGCAGGATGTGTACCCAGGGCTCAGCCTGTGGGCGCTTCAGCAGAGGCGGGACACTGCCCCCTCTCATCCCGGGTCACCAGGGACCTGTAGTGTGCTTGCGGCAGAGGGCAGGTGGGCAGGCAGGGTGGGGTCTCACCGTGAGGTGCCAGGAGCAGTGGGTTTGGGGCGAGTAGTAGCTGGGGAAGTACGGGGTGCTGAGGACGCCCTGGGAGTCGAGCCTGTTGTCCAGCGTCAGGTTCACTTCACAGGCTGGACCAGGAGAGCAGCTGTTACACAGGGGTCCCCTGGCTGCACCTCCCAGCAGGCTGGCGCAGCTTGTAACCCCACCACCCCTACCACCTCTGCCAGCAAATTGCTGTGGTTGAATGTGATTGTGTGAATCTGGGTCTCAGTTTCCTCATCTGTAAAATGAGGACAGTAATAGCACACACCTCATAGGGTAGTAGAGTGGATTAAAAAGACATAAACATTCAAACAGCCTGGCATGTAGTAAGTGCTCGATCCGTGTTAGTTATTGATATTTGCGGGACAGCACTCGCCAGTTTACAAAATGCATTCACACCTGCACAGGCCTCACGGTGGTGGCTGGGGGAGAGAGAGCTGTTCCCCTTTTCCAAGATGAGGTTCGGAGAAAAGGAGTGGCTTGGTTGAGGCTACACCGTGAGAGGCTGAGGGGTCCAGGGGTCAGGACAGGAGCATGCTCACCTGCCCTGGCCATCTCTCCATTGGGCCAGGGCCCCCAAAGCCCTTTGTTCCCTCCCGCCTCGAGCCTGTGTCAGACTCCCAAGGGAACAGCTCTGCTACCCATTTAGCGCTCCAGTTTGGCCAGCTGGGGACCCAGGTCTATGCCAGACAGTTTGGGGATAAACCGAGAAGAGGGCTGGGACCCTGAGTGGGAGGGAGAAGAGTGGGGAGAGAGGTGAGGCAGAAGCAGCTGCCAACACTCTATGGCCTCCTCTCTGCCATCCTCCCCTCCTGAGCTCCAGAAATGGCAAAGTTTGGGCCTCCTGCGCAGAAGTATGGCTGGTCCAGGCCCAGGACAGCTGTCCCATGCGGGGTGGGACGTGCCCTTCCTGGGAAGGGGGCAAGGAGGGAGGTCCCGAAGCAGGAGGAGGGTGGGGGCTGGGAAGGCAGTGGGAGACCTGCCACACCAGTGGCCATGGCCTGGCTGTGCTGCCATCACACCTCCCCAAGCTCCCTGCGCCCTCTTGGCTGTAAGCGGACTGTCTAGGGCGGAATCCAAGGAGTTCTTAGTCCTGCTGCAAACAGACCCGTGTTCCAGGCCCAGCCACCGGTGGGTGCCAAGGGGAGAGGGCAGGGAGGGGGTGAGGGGCAGAGGGGAGGGGACACAGGTCCAGGCGAGTGAGGAGGGAGGAGAGGCGGTCAGCACAGAAAAGAGAAAAGGAGAGAGAAGGAAGGACAGAGAAAGAGGAGGGAAGCAAGGGAGCGATGCCAGGAAGACAGAGACTGCGAATGGTAGGACGGTCAAGGGGAAGAGGGGGGTGGAAGTGCAAACGACGGAAGGAAGAGGGGGGCCGGGGTGGGGAGTGGAGAGCAGCAGGAGCTTCCAGAATCTTCCCTCTCCCCATCCCATCCTCAATTTGGGCAAAAAAGGTGAGCAGTGAGCCCAGTGGAGGGCCCTTGGATTCTACCACCACCCCTCCCCTGCCCCAGGGACCCCTGACCTCTCACCCTGGAAGACCACCGGCTGCACGGAGAGCACGAAGGGGTCGTAGTAGCTGTGCAGGCCCTTCTTCCAGACGACCGCCATGATGGCCCCCGACGCCAGAACCTCCACCACGGGCTCCTGGCGGCTGCAGCCGTACACCCTGGCAGAACAGAAAGGTGGCAAGGCTGGGCTGGGGTCTGGGAGGGGAGTGGCAGGGAGGGCGGCAGGCGGCTGCTGGGGGAGGGTGGACGGGAGTCTGGACATCTGGGTTCTGGGTCCGGGTCTCCTACCAGAGACCACTGTGTGTCTGTGGGGAGAATTCTGTGTCTCCCCAGCCCCAGAGGACAGACTGAAGGCCCTCCAAGGACCAGGCTAGCTCCTCGGGTGAGAGAGGCCAGGAGGTTCCCCAGACTTCTGGAGCTTACAGTTTGATGATGACGGCTGGCTCGAGTCCCATGCTCCCTCCCCAGACCCCTCCACCCTGCTACAGAATCATCTGTGACCCCTAGCGTCCCTGGCAGGAAGACTAGACTGGCATCTGCAGGGACCACCGTTTCTGGCACCGCGACTCCTGGCTGTGCTCAAGGATAGGCAGGGAGAAGGCAGGTGTGGTCTCGTGACCCCCAGGGTGCCCCAGAAATCTGCCCAGAGCTTGGCGCCTGGGAGGCTCGGAACAAATAACCGTATCTTAGACTTCTGGGCTTTTAGAAATCTGGAATGTCAGCCCTGAAAAGACTGGTGACACTGTTGGGGTCAGCTGCTTGATTTCCAGATAGGGAAACTGAGGCCCTACCGGCAGTCCATGGCAGAGATAGGCCTGCGCTAGGCACTGTCTGTGATGGCTGGTACCCTCCCACATATGTAGGTGCCCCTGGTCTGCCTGTCTCAGACAGGGGTTCCCCAGCTCCCCTTCACCCTCTCACCAACCTCCCCCAAACTTCCCAGTGTCAATGGCAACACTCTCTGGAGTCCAGCGCATCTGATGGGTCAATTTATAAGAAACTAACGGCCCCACCTCCCTCTGAATGGGCAACCCAATAGCCTCCCTGCCTGCAGACTGTGCGTGGGCACCTGGGCCTTGACAGGAGGAAGGGGTGCTGCTGGAGGGATTTCAGGCACCTTGGCAAGCGAGTACCTGAGCTCCTCCAAGCACAGCCTCAAAATCGCTACACATGGCACCCAAGCAGCCTGCAGCCAGCTGGAGGCATGGTGGGCATAACCCCAAGGGTCTCCCTGGGAGGGTCTTGGTGCCCAGGGTCCGGGGATGGGGCATTTCCCCTGGCCTCTTGCCAGGGGAGGGAGGTGGCCTCCAGTAGCAGGCACCACCCCCCTCACCCCCCAGGCCCTCGTCCCTTCTTCCTACCATTCCAGCTTGATCTTCCTGCTGCAGCACCCAAGTCTCCCCAACCACACCGGTGCCCCCCACCCTCCCATACAGCCACGTCCTTTTTGGCCTTACCGGCTCATCTTCCCTGGGAGGTGGGAGATACGATATTAGGATGGAAGAGACCTGGAGGTCACCTTTAATGGGGGCTTTAGCTTTCATTGTTGGGGGGTTTTATTTTATTTACCTAGCGGCAGAGCCCTTCTTATAAATGAAATATGGAACGCAGAATCAAAGCACATGGTTGAAACTGAGCAAGGGGCCACCTGCTCTGTCTTCCCATCACCACCAAAGTCCCCCTCACCCCCATTCCCTAGCAGGTGTCTGGGGTACAAGCTTGAGAACCCCAAATGTTGTCTGACCTGTCATTTTAGAGCTTCTCCAAGGGTCTGGGATGAGAGAGCCACCAGGAGCCACAGTGAGTAGGAACAGAGCTGGGCCTGGCAGTCAGGTCCCCTCCCAGGCTGAGAGGCACCTGGAGAAGCCCCAGGGGAAACCCCTAAGTGTCCCCACCCTTTTTGGACCTGGAAGTCAGATGGTGTCTGGCTTCTCTGCACTTCCCAGAGCCCTCCAGAAACTCAGCCCACGCACATGCCGCAGATCGAGGTCACACCCAGCAGGACAGCAGGAGGGGTGACAAGGAGAGAGCAGCTTGGAGAGGCCCTGGGGGAGGGGTGTGGCAAGAACCTCTGCCAGCTCACATTCAAAGACTGCGCTTGATCTGAACACACTGGTCCCATCCCCATCTGCCTGGAGGCTGGCCACAGCCCAAGTGAGACAGAAGAGGCATCAGCCTGACGCCCAGCACAAAGTAAGTGCTCAATAAACAATCGCTGAGAACTGCCCAGCCCAGAGCATCTTCCCCACCTCCTGCAGTGCTTTGTAGGCTAACACCCATCTCCCCATCCTGTGGGAGGACCAGGCTCCCAGAGGTCAAGGCCATTTCCAGTCCCTCCTCCCCACCCCCAACCACCTGCCCTCTGATCCTGATCACTTCTGTACTCCACTCCATATCTTATGCCCTAAAGCCCTACTTCTGTGCTCAAGAACTTTCAATAGCTCCCCACTTACCAAATATCAAAGTCCAAATGGCTCCTGGCACTCAATGCCTTTTGCGGCCCAGTCCCAGTTAGAGCATATATAATGATAACAATAATGGCTAGCGTGTAAGTGCTAGGCACTCACTATGTGTAAGGATCATGGCACAGATAGTCTGATTTAAATCCTCCAATGATCCGGCAAGGTAAGCAGGTTCTAAGAGGCAAAGTAACTTGCCTTAGGGCACGCAGCTAGGAGACAGGGGGTTCCCCGTCACATCCCCACACCCCCGCCCCACACACCAGTAAGCCTCTCTGCTCTTACATTTAATCCGTGAGCTCTGATGCATTGCTAGAACTTGCAAAGCAGTACCACCTACATCATTCATTCGTTCACTCAAAATAGATACTGCACACCTACTGTGCGTTTGGTCTAGGCACGAGGGCCCGGCAGTGAAGACATCCCCTCCCATGGGGAATCTAGTATCTCATTTAAACCCCACCAGAAGCCTGGGAAGCAGAGAGGGTGGGTGTTCTACCAGGAAGCAGTCAGGATTTAGGAACGAGCCCAGAGGTTGAAAGTCCAGGCTGCAGCCAGACTCTGAAACATCCCAACAAGCCACGGTGCCTCCCAGAGCTGACTTCAGGAGTCATCTACAACAACGGCTTTGTTACAGATGGGGAAACTGAGGCTCGCGGAGGGGAAGCGCCCCCAGTACACAACCATCTCCAGCCTCCTCTCCCCTATCCCCTCTAAGCTAGCCGTCCTGTCTCCCAGATACCCAGGCCCAAGGTCCTACCCTCCCTTGTCTAAGAATGCTGTGTGTGACTTTCAACTCCCCCATCAACCACTCCCTTTTCCAGCCCTCCCTCCTGCCCTCCTTCCCAGGGACTCACGAGGTGATGAGCCTCTTCTCCAGGGGCCCGGCCACGTCATACATGGCCAGTCGGTCCCGGCACTCTGCCAGCGTCCACTCCAGCCGGAGTTTGAGCATGAGGTCCTTGGGGCCCTGCAGGTGCCACAGGCAGCTGGAGGCCAGGTGGTCAGGCCCCTTCAGCCGGAGGACCTGGCCCTGGCCCACGTAGCTGTAGCGGTAACAACCTGGAGCGGGGAGAGGGGCACAGCCCCTGATTCCTGTGAGCCAGAAGGAGGGGACCCTGGGGAGCCAGGTCCCTCAAGGTCCTCCACCAGGCAGGATGGGCTGGGCAGGGGAGCCGGGTGGGGATAGCCAGACATGCTCTACCCCATCCTTCTCTTTCCCTGTCAGTATCCTCATTCATGCATTTGTTCATTGGTTCAGTCATTCACTCATGGAATGGACACACACTGAGCTTCACGCCTTCTCAGTGCCCAGGTAAAAATCCAGTCGCTGCCTGGGGACATGGATGACAGCGGGGACAGACAGACACAGAACAGGCAAGAATAGCTCAGGAGGTGACGGCTTCAAACCCGGCCTGTGGGCTGGGGGCATCCTGGGGGTCCCTGCGTGAGCAAAGAGGCTGGGGCGAGCCGGGCAGCTTTGAGAAAAGTACACACAGGGCACGTGTATCTAGAGGACAAGCTGAAGGCAGGGAGGCCTGGCCCAGGCCATTCCGAGGATGGGCGCTGCTTTCTCCTGCAGCCATAGGGAGCCACAGAAGGTTGGGCAAGGCTGGACATGGGCTGGCTTGGACCACACACTCCTCTGGCTGCTGTGGAGACCAGCGAGGCCACAGGCAATGAGGAGAAGAAGGGATGAGGGCTTCACTTCCGGTAGAGAGAAGGGAGTGCCCTAAGGAGGAGTCTGGGAGGCTGCCCTGGGGGGAGGACATGAGCTTTGAGCTAATGATGGTGAAGCCATCAGAATAAAACAGGTGCTTATCAAGCATTTGCTACAGGCCAGAAACTGAACTGAATGCCTTCCCTCACTGTCTCGCTCAATGCCCACAACAGCTGTATGAGATACTTTCAATGATTGTGTCCATTGCACAGACCTGGGCCAGACACATCTGGGTTTGCCCAGCCACCACCTAATCTTTCCTGGGCCTTGCTTTCCTCATCTATAGAATGGGACGATAACACCACCCTTGCAGGGCCGCCAGCAGAGGCTGTAGGATGATACACGTTTGAATGCCCAGCACAGCACCTTGCACAGTAGGGGCTCAATAAAGGCAGTGCCTGGTTCCTCAGGTGGGTGTGAGGGAGACGGAGCAGGTAGGGCTGGGGAGAAAGGCCTGTGACTTTTCATCCTGCAGCTGGCCCCGCCTGAGGCTCAGACCTAGCCCATCTCACGGCTGCCTCACTTCACAACTGTTTCACCATCATACCCCACCCCCCTACCCCACACACCAGTGAGTCTCTGCTCTTCCATCTAATCCGTAAGCTCTGATGCACTGCTAGAACTTACAAAGCAGTACCACCTGCATCATTCATTCATTCATTCATTCATTCAAAACAGTGACTGTGCACCGACTGTGTGTTCGATCTAGGCACCAGGGTCTGCCAGTGAACATGTTCTCTCCCGTGGAGCATCCAGTATCTCATTTAAACCTCGCCAGAAGCCTGGTGTTCTTCCAGGAGCCAGTGGGGATTTAGGAATGAACCTGGGATGTGGGAGGCAGCCTGGTGACATGAAATTATAAAACCTGAGTTTTCAGTCTGTTTTCTCTGCTTTAAATCGTCTTCTTTGGAAGGCCACAGGCAAGCAAAAGTCCCCCTGTCAGCTTGGTCAGCCTGAGGGCAGGCCCCCCAGGCTAGTGCCATCTGCTGGGCCCCCAGGGGAGGGGGTATATGGGGAGGGAACTGGAGAGAAGGAGGGAGGGGCACTACCCTCCCCACCTAGCACCAACACTCATCAGCTGTGTGATGATGTCATTCTTGGCTCATGGGCCATACAAAATCAGGCAGCAGTGGACCAGATTCGGTGTCCAGGCTGCAGTGAGCCAGTCTCTGTCCCCAATCATTGTCTGATTAAGTCCCCCTGAGGCTCTCAGGAGTAATAACTCTGACTTACTATTGGTTGCAGATTATCAACCTCAGACTCTGTAGAGGTAGATGTTCACTACCTCTGGGTAGTTAACTGAGTCTGGGCCAGTGGCTTAGCCATTCCAAGTTCTGTCAAATGGATGTAATAATAATCCCTGTCCTATGACCTCCTCTGGGCAGTGCTGAGGACCAGGAAGGGAATGGAGGTGAATACACTTTGCTCTGATGCTGCCACCTGTGGCTCAGCCCCTTCTCCCTGACCCCTGGCCATGCTGACTGCAGTGGGGAGCTGACCTCCCCAGAGAGAGAACAACAATGTCTGCCTAGGGAAGGGACAGGGCCTCCACCAGCAGCTGGGGAAAGATGGCTGGCTCTTCCTAGGGTTTTGTGTTCTTTAAATCTTGCTCCAAGCAGATTCTTTGCTCTTGCCACTTTAATAATTACCCTTTTTTTTTTTTTTGAGACGAATTCCGTGGAGAGGTGTGTGCTAACCTCTTGTTAATCAGAAACACCTTCAGGGAGCCTGGCACCTCTCGGGGCTGGGAGGAATTAACTGAACACGCCTTGGGTGTTCCCCTCCCCCAGCCTTTGCCCCTGCCATTCCCTCTGCTCAGGGAACCCTTTCTTCTTCTCGCCCTGACAAATTCCTGCCTACCCCCATGCCTGAATTTCTTTTTCTTTTGAAAATTATTTTATTTTATTGTTGAGACAGCCTGTCACTCAGGCTGGAGCGCAGTGATGCGATCACAACAGCTCATTGCAGCCTCGACCTCCTGAGCTCGGGTGATCCTCCCACCTTAGCCCCCCACCCCCACCCCCGAGTAGCTAGGACTACAGGTGCACACCACCATGTCCAGCTAATTTTTTTTTTAATGGAATTTGCTCTTGCTGCCCAGGCTGGAGTGCAATGGTGCAATCTTGGCTCACTGCAACCTCCACCTCCTGGGTTCAAGCAATTCTCCTGCCTCAGCCTCCCAAGTAGCTGGGATTACAGGCATGGGCCACCATGACCAGCTAATTTTGTATTTTCAGTAGAGATGGGGTTTTGCCATGTTGGCCAGGCTGGCCTCGAACTCCTGACCTCAGGTGATCCGCTCAACTTGGCCTCCCAAAGTGCTGGGATTACAGGCTTGTGCCACCACGCCCGGCCCATGCCCAAATCTGATGCCCCCTCCATGAAGTCTTCCAGGATCCCCCAGTCAGGAGCAACCCCTCCCTCCTGTAGATCTGGGACTCTGTGTGAGGCTCTTGATTTGCCCCCTCTTCTGCTTTGGAACGAACAATTCCCTCTCTCCACTGCCTCTGGGGCCTCTATTCTCACACTGGCACCTGGTGTTATGAGAATCTGTTTATGTGTCTGTCTCCCTCATGGGGCTTAAAGCTCCTCCGAGGGCAGGGGTGAGGACACGGTCATCCTGGTGTCCTCAGCGCAGGAATGGGGCCTGGCATGAAGGAAGTGCTCATAAAGTCGACTTCAAGGATTTGAGTTGTTATCTCTGCCCCCTGAGACTCTGTGCTCTGGACATGCACTGAACCAGTCTCCTCATTCATGCTTTCATTCATTTGTTCAATCATTCATTCATGAAACGAACACCCACTGAGCACAGATAATTACAGAACAACTGCCAGGAACATGGGGACACAGAGGCACGAGGCAACATGAGGCTATTACATAGCACTTCTATTGCAGGAGAAAAAATAACTTTCCATAGGACCTTTTCCTTTCCTTTCTTTCTTTCTTTTTTTTTTTTTTTTTTTTTTTTTTTTGAGATGGAGTCTCACTCTGTCGCCCAGGCTGGAGTACAGTGGCACAACCTCACAATCTCAGCTCACTGCAAGCTCCATCTTCCGGGTTCAAGTGATTCTCCTGCCTCAGCCTCCTGACTGGTTAGGACTACAGGTGCGCACCACCATGCCCGGCTAATTTTTATATTTTTAGAAGAGACGGGGTTTCGCCTTCTTGGCCAGGCTGGTCTCAAACTCCTGACCTCAGGTGATCTGCCTGCCTCTGCCTCCCAAAGTGCTGGGTTACAGGCATGAGCCACCATGCCTGGCTGACTTTTATATTTTTTAATAATTGAAAAATGGCCTATGGAGCCAGGCGTGGTGGCTCACACCTGTAATCCCAGCACTTTGGGAGGTGGAGGCAGGTGGATCACCTGAGGTCAGGAGCTCGAGACCAGCCTGGCCAACACGGCAAAACCTCATCTCTTCTAAAAATATACAAATTAGCCAGGCATGGTGGCAGGCACCTGTAGTCCCAGCTACTCAGGAGGCTGAAGCAGGAGAATTGCTTGAACCTGGGAGGTGGAGGTTGCAATGAGCCAAGATCGCGGCACTGCACTCCAGCCTGGATGACAGAGTGAGACTCTGTTATATATATATATATGTCATTCTTGGCTCATGGGCTATACAAAATCAGGCAGCAATTGACCAGATTCGGTGTCCAGGCTGCAATGAGCCAGTCTCTGTCTCCAAGCATCATCTGATTAAGTCCCCCTGAGGCTCTCAGGAGTAATATCTCTGACTTACTATTGGTTGTAGATTATCAACCTCAGACTCTGTAGAGGTAGATGTTAACTTTCAGAAGACTGTAATAAGCTGTCAATGATTTTAATTCACTAGAAAAGACAACTCCAAAGGTTTGAGTTTTCTTGCCTGGTAGGACCTTAACCAGGTTTGTATCTAACTTGGTAATCTTATTCTAGCAATTCTCTTTTTCCATTAATGATTGATGATAGATAGATAGATAGATAGATAGATAGATAGATAGATAGATAGATATAAACAGACAGCTAGCTAGCTAGACAGACAGAGACAGAGAGACAGACAGATAGATAATAGACAGCTAGCTAGTTAGATAACTAGATAGACAAGCAGACAGATATCAACAGAGATGATAGATAGATAGATAGATAGATAGACAAATAGATCAGTTTCTTGCATTCTTTACCATTCTACTCGTTCCCCCATTAATCAGCCAAATAAATATTTGACACATGGTCACTCTATCTTTGTATGAGAATCATGATTTCACCTCTTTGAAAACTGTACTTTGACCTCATCACCTCCATCCAACAAAGAAGCAAGCATTTGACCAGCAGGATGGGAAGACGGGAAGGTAAGGAAAGGTATAACAAGGATTTAAACTCTGCCTCCCTCCCTGAGAAGGGGTTGAGACGCTCACCCCCACCTTGGCTCTGGGTGACAACACTAGATAGTGTGGGAGGAATCTGAGAATTTAGGGGCCATAGAGTCCAGCAGCCAGTTGGTGCACTGCACAACTCACACAAACTACAACTTGGACAGCACCTCCTGCCTTGTGCAGCGTGGTGACTGTGCTGGTCAGCTGAAAGATTGTGGGTCCGCTTGGAGAAATGCAAGGTGACTCTAGCAATACGGCACCAGGTAGGGAGGGAGGGCTGATGAGCCTGACTGGGAAGGAAAGGAAAAGAGGGAAGGAGCGTTCTTGAATGCAATGGCACCGCTACCTCCAAAAGACCAAGTTTTAAAACCAACGTGACTGACAAACCGTGAATTGGCAAGATGATTTTCTACCATCAGTGGAAACTAGCTTGTGGGCAGGTTGAAGTGAATGATAGAGGAGAGTCACGTTCGTGGACCACTAAACCTGACTCATCCTCACACCCACACAGGAACGCATGCACACCCGTCTACAAGACACACACAAATACACGCATGCACGTCGCCACCTCCTCTCCCCCTACAGGCTCCAAGACTTGCTTGGGACACATCGCTGAGTCCACCATGGCATCCCCTGGGTGACTCTTGGCCAGGGCTCCCTGCACACACAACAGAAGCCATGTGTCCCCCTGATACACAACAAAGTCAAGACAAATGCCAACTCAAAAGGAAAATGGGGAGGGGAAAAAAAAATAGCGTACCCAGCGTGGAATTCAATGCAGCTATGTCTTTCACACTGGCTTCTGATAAAAGGAAATGAACAAACAAATAAACAAGAACAAAAAAAAAAAAAAAGAAAAGAAAATACAATGAAAATAAAATTAGAGGAGACCCTTGGAGCCAGCCTTGTCTGAGATTTACCCTAAATGCCCCCATCCCACCCTTCTTTCCTGGCTCCTTGAATGCAATGGCACTGCTACCTCACCTGGGGGGCTCTCCTGGGGGGCCCACCCTGACAGCACCCCAGGCCTGGCAGGCAGCCTCCCCGGGCCACACCACAGCTTGTTTCCCCCAACCTCATGAGGCCAACCCCACGTTTCCACTCGCAGTACTGACCCAGGATCACTAGGCCCTCGGGGTCCACTTCGTACTCGGCCCTGTAGGGGACGGCAGCCGAGCTGTTGACTGTGGACAGCAGCTCCTCCACCAGCAGTGCCTGCACCACCTCGGGGCTCAGCATCAGCCGGCGGTGCTCGGGGATTTGGAGAATGAACCAGAAGAAGCAGGTGAGGGGTCCCTCCCTAAGGCAGGCAGAAGTGAGAGAGGCCAGGGAAGGATTCTGAGGTCTGGCCCCAGCTCCACCCCTGCTCATGCACATCGAGCACTTTCCGCACCTCAGCCATTGCTGTCCGTCTTCACGCAGAAGCCTCCTAGCGACCTCTGAAGGAGGCGCTCTCATAATCCTTATTTTACGAATGAGAAAACTGAGGCATGAGAGGTGAACTTGTGTCTCATAAACTATGCCGCAAGTAGCAGAACCAGATGTGGACGGGGCAGTCGGGCCCTGGAGCCAATGCTTTTAACCCCATGCCCCTCCAACATCGCCTCGCCTGATGGTGTCAGGCCCTTGATCAGCCATCACAGTCATTGTCTGGTGCAAACCTATCACACCCATGTTTCCATTCTACAGATGAGCCCAGTGAAGGGAGGGTGACATGCAGGAAGCCAAGTTCCCTCTCTATGCCTTAGTTTCCCCATTTGAAACATGAAGGCATTGCATCAGAAGCCTACAGAGGCCCCTCCCATTCTTTGAATCTCAGCTTCTTGCAGGAGCTGGTCAGGGGCAAGGACAACTCACCCAAAGGAATAGACGGAGCTGGAGTTGTAGTAAGTTCCCAGGCGGGTGCTGGTGATGAGCTCCTTGAGCTGTGAGAAGGGAAGACAACAGCCCCTGGGACCCTCTGCAGGGCAGACAGGCCCACTTCCTACCTGGAGGTGCCCTTTGCTCCTACTGGCAGCCCCGCTCCATGCATGATTCTCCAAGGTGGACAGGCTTGATCACGGTCACACAGTGCTGAGTGGCCGGGCCGGGGCATGCATGAATCTCACACCCCATCCCCTTCTTTCTGTTTCCACTACACCCGACTCTCACCTCCACCTGCACTGCTGATGACCCCTCTGCCCCTTGCCAAAAGTCACTCCTCAACTCTGAGAAACCCCACTCGGCTCCTGGGTCCCCTCTGCACCTCCTCCCATGGCCTGGGACAAGCCAGCAGCTCTGATGGGTAGTTTTTGCGCATCTCCAACTACAGCGCTGCTGGCAGGATTACAGGCTCTTAAGCATTTGCGCAGCGTGGGAATAGTGTTCGTGTTATCTCAACTTCACTGCAACCCACAACAAATCTGCAGCCGGGTCCTGTTGTTATCACCCCTACCTCATGGAGGAGGAAACGGGCAGCCTCAGGCTGGGTCCCTCAGAAGCAGACCCTCCATTGACAAGGTGGGGCAAGTGGTTTATTTGGAGGTGATTCTGGGAAACAGTAGTTGGGAGGGAGAGACTGGAAAGTGGGCAACCAACACAGGGCCATGAATGCGCAGTGTAGAGCTGAGAGCATCTGAGCTCAGCCGAATAGGGCATCTCTGGGAGACAGCCTGGAACATTCTGTGAACTATTCCCCCTGCCAGGGCCAAAGAAGCTGCGGTATTGATCCACCCACTCCAGCGCTCATGGTTCAGGGTTGCTCCTGGGAATAACTCCCCGGCACTTCTGGCCTGCCTTGCTGGGCAGTGGTCCTGCAGCCTGAGAGTGGCAGGCAGTAGACCAGCCTCCGTGCAGTGAGCCACCATCCTGTAACAGAGGGGCAGGAGTGGCCACCGTCCTGTAACGGAGGGGCAGGAGCGGGCCACCGTCTTGTAACAGAGGGGCAGGAGCGGGCCACCGTCCTGTAACGGAGGGGCAGGAGCGGCCACTGTCCTGTAACGGAGGGGCAGGAGTGGGCCACCGTCCTGTAACGGAGGGGCAGGAGCGGCCACCGTCCTGTAACGGAGGGGGAAGAGCGGGCCACCGTCCTGTAACGGAGGGGGAGGAGAGGGCCACCGTCCTGTTACGGAGGGGGAGGAGAGGGCCACCGTCCTGTAACGGAGGGGGAGGAGAGGGCCACCGTCCTGTAACGGAGGGGGAGGAGCGGGCCACCGTCCTGTAACGGAGGGGCAGGAGCGGCCACCGTCCTGTAACGGAGGGGCAGGAGCGGCCACCGTCCTGTAACGGAGGGGGAGGAGCGGGCCACCGTCCTGTAACGGAGGGGGAGGAGCGGGCCACCGTCCTGTAACGGAGGGGCAGGAGCGGGCCCTCAATAGTGTCAGCTGCACTGTGGGACCTTTCCCAAGGTCATGCTCCACCCCTGGTAAGAGGCATGATCAGGATCTAATCCGAGTGCTATTGACCCAAACATCCACTAACTTTCCCATGACCCTCAACCTCATCTGCTTCCATGGTGCCTGGAGCAGGGCTGTGGTCCCTGTGAATGCTCCAGATGGGTTGACCAACTGGCTCCATGTGATCAGACCCCACCCCTCTCTTTTCACCCCCATATTCCCTCCCTCTCATCCCCCAGATCCTTTCCTACCATCTTCTGGGCTTTGGCGGTTTCACTGCGGAAGGCACTAGATTCCCGGCGGGTAAGATCCTGGGAGAAGTGGCGATTGAGTACACGCAGACTGCCTGAGTACACCTGGCTGACCATCACCTCCGCCTTGTACCCTGCCCAGGAAGGAACCAGCAGGGTTAGTGGAGGAAGCAGGTGGGAAAGTCTCCTGTCTCTTCCATGCCTTCTCCTGCCACCCACACCCTCAGCTCAGCCTCAGTGTCTTGGGTCTCCATGGCACCATCAATGTCATCATCATCATCTTTGTCACTCCCATTGTCATCATGGTCATCTAAAGTTTATTGGATGACAAACTGGCTGCAAGGTACCAGGGAGGTGAAAGGCTCCCAGATGGATGGTGTCCTACAGGTTCCCAGGGAGAGGCTGACACAGTGACCAGTCCAGGACACCAATGACATGAAGGCCAGGAAATCCACATAGGCCCAGGAGGCCAAGGTCATGGGTCAGCACCACTAGGCATCCTTCCACTCGTGAGGTCACCCAGGGATCCCACAGTGTGTGCTAACCACCTACTACATGGGGTACGCCAGTTAACCAAGACAGATGTGCCTCCCCTTGTGAAGCTGACAGTGGTGGGTAAGAAAGGCGTGGCTCTGGCAACCACACAGCATGTGGCATCTGTCTGTGGGCAGTGCCATCAGGGAGCAGTGCCACATGGTGCTGTTGAGGGGATGTGACGAGGACACTCAGCCTGGGCCAGAGTGGAGTGACCCTCCAGCTGAGATGTAGGGATGGGGAAACTGTAAATTGGTAAGAGAAGAGGGAGGGAAGTACCTTCCAGCAGAGGGAGCAGCATGGGGCACGGGGCCGGTAGCACGGGGACCATGGTGAGGACCCGGGCTGAAAGCCTGTTTGGCTGGAGCAGTCAGAGATGGGGAGGGGCGGCAAGGAGCTGGGGCCTCCGCAGGGCAGGGCCCATTGGGTCTTTACCCGATGAACAAGGGTAACCATGAAAAGTTTAAAATCAGGAATGATGTCATCAGACTTCTGTTTTGCAAAGGCTATTTTGGCTGAAGTGAAGAGGGTAGACTCACAGCCCTGGTTTACACCCCTATCCATTTACTCAGTAAATACCTCTTGAGAGCCTGCTATGTGTAGGAACTGAGCCAAAGTACTTGGGACTATATGAGCAAAACAACGGACAGAACTATCAAGAAAAAACTGCCCTTAATAGCTTGTAGACTAGCAAGGAATCAGACGGTAAACCACACATCGTGTATAACAGGTTAGAGGTGGTCAGTGCGGTGGGAATCAGGGCATGGGACGGGCTGCGATATGGAGGTCAGGGAAGAAGGTGATGTACATCTGTGGAAAGAATGTCCCAGGCAGGGGCAAGTGCAAAGGCCTGGTGTGTTTCAGGAGCAGCAAAGAGTGAGCAACAGGACAGCAGGAGGGTATGAGATGGGGAAGGGGAGAGGCTGGGTAGGGCTTTCCAGGCCTGGGAGGACTCGGGCTTTCACCCTGGGTAAGATGGGAGGAATGGGAGGTGGTTTTTTTGTTTTCTTTTTGTTTTTGTTTTGTTTTGTTTTTGAGACAGAGTTTCGCTCTTGTTGCCTAGCTTGGAGTGCAATGGCTCAATCTCCGCTCACCACAACCTCTGCCTCCCGGGTTCAAGCGATTCTCCTGCCTCAGCCTCGCAAGTAGCTGGGATTACAGGCATGCACCACCACGCCCGGTTAATTTTGTATTTTTAGTAGAGACAGGGTTTCTGCATATTGGTCAGGCTGGTCTCGAACTCCTGACCTCAGGTGATCCATCTGCCTCGGCCTCCCAAAGTGCTGGGATTACGGGCGTGAGCCACGCGCCTGGCCCCAAGCGAGGTTTTAAGCAGCGAAGTTAGAGGATTTCGTTTGCTTTATCAAATGGTCCCTCTGCTGTTGAGAAAGGCTCTAAGGAGGCAGGGCAGAGGCAGGGAGAGCATCGAGGACACGCCTGCAGGGCTCCAGGGGAGAGATGTCCAGGGGGACAGAGCCTGGCCCCAGCTGTGGCAGAGGAGAGGGTGGGAAGTGATTGGCGTCAGCTGCTTTTGATGTGTTTTGGAGTTAGAGATGACCAGGTTTGCTGGCAAAGTGGGGCTGGGTGGAAAAGAAAGAAAGGAGTAAGGGGAAGGTGCCAGAAAGAAGTGGTCTTGGACTGGGATGTTGGAGGTACAGGTCTGGGGGAAATTATGCAGAGACCTCATGGTCTGAAAGCATAGGGTCCGAGATGCTCCTTAGACATTAAGAGGAAGAGCAGGGGCAGCTCTAGAGACAAGCTCAAGGGAGAGGCCCAGGCTAGAAATGCAAATGTGGGTGTTATCAGGGTATAAAGGGCACTTGAAGCTAAGGGTAGCAGATGAGATCACGAAAGAAGCGGGTGGAGAGAGAAAGGAGAGGCCCCACCCATCAGCAGGGACACAGAAAAAGCAACCTGCTGAGCGGAAAGGACCCGGTGGCGGCCCAAAGTCTAGGGAGGAAAGGGCTTCTGGAGGTGGGGGTGAGCCCCCGGGTCAAGTGCAATGATGACTGAGAAGTGGACATTGGATTTAGCAACCTGGGATGTTGGCGAGCTTGACAATGGCCATTGGAGTTGGGGGGCAGAGGGAGCCAGGTTGGAAAGGGCACAGAGAGACTGGGTGTGTGGACTGACAGCTCTTTCAAGGAGCAGAGAAATGGGGGAGGCACCCCAAGGGACACTGGGGGAGAGAGGGCATCCTTGCTGGTGCTGGGCCATTGTGTGGGCAGAGGGGGCGGGATCGGGGTCCCAGGAGGAGTGCACGTGATGCAGCTGGGAGGGCAGGTGGGCCAACATATATGGGGCTTCTCTTCTAAGCTGTTTTGTTTTCTCACTGAAGCAGGAGACAGGGGCAGGCGGGTGCTGGGGGCTTGAGAACACATAAAACTCTTGCCTGGGAGAGCAGGAAAGGGAAAGGACCCAGGAAATATGGTTGGTGGTATTAAGGGTCCTGCTACCATCCTTAGGAAGCCAGCCACACCCTCTCCTCGGGCCAGGCTGTCCTCCTCGCTTGGGGCCTGTCCTGCTCCAGTGTCACTGGTCACTTGTGCACCTCCTCTTCCAGACAGGGCAGGGCGTGTCTCTGATCCACTTCCTTGCCCAGCGCCCAGTCCCAGGAGCACAGCCTGGTCAAGGCGGGAGGAGTCTTTCAAACAGCTCCCAAAGTGCCTCCTTCAACCCTTAATCCCTCTGTGGGGGAGTTGGCTTCCCCCAGCAGAGGCTTGGGAGCACTCACCCCTTGGGTCCTCAGCCCCATGGAGCACCTCTCCTGGGGTGGGGGGTGATTTACCCCAGGAGCATAATCAGGGGGAATTAAACTCCTCTGCAAAGAGAAATAATTGGCAGGTGAGTTCCTGGCCCTCCAGCCCAGTGCCCCGTGGTTTACCCTGTAGACTAATTAGCCCGCTACCTGAGGAGGCCCCCACAGCCCTGTGCTATCTGGGGCACTGGCTTCCTGCTGGTGGTGAAATGCACATGGCGTCTACTGCCTGCGTTGCTCAACTCTGGGTAGAATCACTATAAGTCATTGCAAGCAGGCCCGTGTCAGACCTGGGGTTCCCAATAGTGTCACTCCCAGATGCTGGTTCCAGACACTCCCAACCCTGACCCCTTGGATCTAGGCCTACATGGATTTCTCTCCACTGCTACAAAGTTGGTCCCCAGGTTGCTTTCAACAGGCCTGGAATTCCACCAGGAGATTCAGCCAGTAAGAGCACTAGCTATCCTTTGCAGGATGTTTAATGGGATGCTTCTGATCACGCAGGCATCTGGGTTGTCCCTCCTGTGGCTTCCCAGCCCTCAGCTTCCTCTGTCCCATCACATGCTATGCTTTAGCGTAAATGTCAGGTCTGATGCCTTGGCTAAATCACAAGGACAGGGGCTATCCCCAGAACCTGGCACACAGGAGGTGCTTGGCACTGAGTAAATGAACAAATGAATGGGCCTTCTACAGTGTACAGTGTAGAGGCACAGTCCGATTTGGTTTCTCCATTACTTCCCACTGTCAAAGGCAGAAGGAAGAGGAGAGACTCCATCAATCTTAGAGAAAGATAATAGATGCTCAAGAGCATTTATTCCATGAATGAATGAACGGAGGCCTGGATGAATGGGCCCAGAGCACAGGCCAATTGCTCCCCGGGCACCAGGGGACTGACTGAGGGCTGTGACATCAGGGAGGGGCCAGCCATAATTAAGGACATGGCAGAGGGCCCCAAGGCTGGCTGCTCTCCAGCTGCCTGCTCCGTCCCCCATTCATGCTGGACCCTGGAGACCCAGAGGGGATAGAGCTGTGGTCCCCAGCCTAGAGGAGAACCTAGGCTAGGCTCAAGTGAGCAGAGGCACTAATTGGTACCAGGTACCATTGGTGCCTCTGGGCCTCCTTCTTTAGGGCTGGGTTGGCTCCAAGCCTCAGGGGCAACCCAGGAGGACTGCAGGCAAGGGAAGGCGATGTTTATGCTCTGTGGGCTGGCTGGCTCACAAGAACTGGGTGCTAGGAGGGCCCACTTTCCCCACCTGGTGGGGAGCTTTGGGGCACTTTGCCCAAGCAGGAAGCAGACCCGAGCCATAGGACCTGGAGCCAGGGTCTGACAGCATCTCCAGCTGGAAGGACAGGGAGGGAGACCCAGAGAACAGAAGTGACTTGCCCAAGGTCACACAGCAATATGCTAAGCACGGCTGAGCCTGGAACCCAGTCCTGTCCTGCTGTGCCTGCTACAGTCACCCCAAGTCCTCCCCAGGTGCCTCTCCCAGGCGGTCCCACAACGTTACCTAGGAAATACCAGAGTAGCACCCCCGCCGAAGCCAGCACGAGCAGGGCCAGCAGCACAAACAGGGGCACCAGGCGGAGGTAGCCCCGGGCTTTTCTCTTGGAGTCCTCACAGGCCTTGAACATCCCCTCCGGCTCCGCTTCCTCGCCATCACCTCCGTCCCCCTGCCCGCCAGCCACCT
This sequence comes from Homo sapiens, assembly GCF_000001405.40. NCBI lineage: Eukaryota > Metazoa > Chordata > Mammalia > Primates > Hominidae > Homo > Homo sapiens. Next base: position 37,103,396 of record NC_000022.11, read on the forward strand.
GGGGGGCCTCGGCCACGGGCATCCTGCCAGGGAAACAGACCAAAGTTGGAAACAGCCTCGCATTTGCAAGGGAGCCTCTGCTGAGCACCGGTGGGGCACGGAAGCAGGACTTCCCTGCCTTTTGGAGTGGAAGAGTAACAACATCAGGCGGCAGTGACTGCAAGTGGGTGCCGAGACAGCTCACAGAGGAGGGAAGTGCATCTCAGGTCAGCTCGCACCAGAGGGCAGGCACCAGAGCTGGACTGGGTCTGGCTCAAGAACCCCACCTTTGCTTCCCACTGGCTTCCCTATGGTCAGAGGACAGACGGAGGTCTCAGTACCTAAACACCCACCTCCCTAGAGGCTGCACCCACAGACAGAACTGAAGTACATGGGGTGCAGACTTCTGTAGACATCTGACCTCTTGCCCTCATTTCCCGTCCACGCAAGGAATGCTGTTTCTTGCTCCTGGTTCTGGTTCACGGAGCTTCCCACCACGCCCACACAGTCCATGCACTTAGCCCCCGCCCCAGAATCCCCTGAGCTGGCACTGCGCTGGGCCGGGGACCTGCCTTCCTTCACAGAGTACCGTCTCTCTCACCTTTCTGCTCTCAAAGTCTTGTGGCAGAGGAAGGGAACAAAAACTAATATTCATTTCGTGCCCTCATGAGACATCTCACACTTAATTTTCAGGTCACCCAGGGATGTGGAACCATTGTCCCATGTTTTCTTCCTCCAGCCCACACCACGTGGGTACTTCACCTGCTTTATCTCACTTAAACCTCCAGTTCTGCACCCATTGAACAGATAAGGAAACTGAGACCCAGAGTGTTCTAGCACTAACTCAGTCTAGGGCTTTTCCTAGCCCCATTTTCCCAGTGTGATTTGAATACCTGACATTCACTCCCAGACGCATTTTACAGATTAAAAAAACCCTGAAGCCCAGAGAGGCTAAGCCGCTTGCCCAAGATCACACAGCAGGGAAGTGGAGGTTGAGTCTAGATGTCTGACTCCCTGCTTTTTCCACGAATCTAAGATGCCTCCCATAAATGAGCTGTTAATTAACAAATCATGATTAAATAGCAACTGAATGTCGCCCCTCTCCACGCTCCAGGGTTCCAACTCTATTTTGAGACCCTTTCAAGCAAACATCCCAATGTATTTGGCCTTTGACGCAGGTTTCCCCACAGTACAGAGAAAGCCTTTGACCCACCCACCGGGAGAGCAAAGGCTCCAGACTACTGCGAAGTTCATCTCCTCTTACTATATCCATAAATACCGTGTAGCTTTAAAATGCACCCCAGGGCCGGGTGCCGTGGCTCACGCCTGTAATCCCAACACTTTGGGAGGCTGAGGTGAGTGGATCACCTGAGGTCAGGAGTTCGAGATCAGCCTGGCCAATATGGTGAAACCCTGTCACTATGAAAAATACAAAAATTAGCCGGCTGTGGTGGTGGGCACCTGTAATCCCAGCTACTCGGGAGGCTGAGGCAGGAGAATCACTTGAACCTGGTCAGGGGAGGTTGCAGTGAGCTGAGATCATGCCATTGTACTCCAGCCTGGGTGACAGAGCAAGACTCTGCTTGAGAAAAAAAAAAACATAAAAAAATAAATAAAATGCACCCCAGATGCAGGCGGGGCTTCCTTTGGGCTGTATCTTGGGATTTTACACAGCGGGTTTCCAAAAACGGGGCTCTTTAGTAATGCTCAAAGTCCTCCCAGGTGGATGTGAAGGGCCCTGGCCCTTCTCCCAGCTTCCTGGCTCCCTCCAGCTCCCCTTGGCATCGTTCCCAGCTAAGGGTCTTTGGTGTCAAGCCACAGTGACTCTGTTGAGCGGCCCCCATCAGATACAAGGAAGGGAGGGACTGCAGGGGACCCTCACTGGGCATGACATCCCCCTCCACAACTAAGCTAGGACATTCCTGCATGTGGAGTGGGCCCTACTGGCTTTTATGGGGCCAAGGCCAGGGAATGGTAAATGGTAAACGTCCGGCAACGGGTGGGACAGCCCCGCCCACTTCCTCAAATGTTCACAGCATCCCTAGTGAGAAACAGGCAAGAAACAGACCAGTAACAGGGTGCTGAGACTCTTGCATGAGGCCACATGGCAGGTTTGAGTCCCCAGCGCAGAGCTGCCTGTCTGTCCTGGGCTGGCCACCTCTGACTGAGGTGGCTGTCCTCAAAATCTGAGAAGGTTTGCTGGATTGGGAAGATCCCAGGTGATGGGTTGGCTCCTTGCCCTTCTTTCAGTCCCTCGTCCCCTCCCTCTGCCAGAGGAGGACACCATATTCCCGTCGCACCCCTTTTGTTTAAGGGACAGGATCTCACTCTGTCACCCAGGCTGGAGTATGGTAGCACGATCATAGCTCACCCCAGCCTCCAACTCCTGGGTTCGAGTGATCCTCCCACCTCAGCCTCCCAAGTAGCTGGGACTACAGGTGCACCAGCACACCTGGCTAATTTTATAGTTTTATTTTTTGTAGAGACCAGGTCTCAAACACCTGGCCTCAAGCGATCCCCTCACCTTGGCCTCCTGAAGTGTTGAGATTACAGATGTGAGCCACCATACCTGGCCCTGTTTTACTCTTGAGTCTGGATCACAAAGGAGCTATTTTGGGATGAGTCATAGAGCCATGGGGACTCGGGGGCATAGAGGTGGTAACAGGTGACATTTATTTCAATTGTCTCTGTTGCTTTATGTGCACTTTCTCATGTAAGCCTTACACAGATCCTGTGGGGACAGGTACTCTGATCACTCCTACTTTACAGATGGGAGAGTCAAGGCACAGAGAGGTTGAGCAGCTTGGCTAAGGTCACACAGCTGGTCAGCAGCACAGCCAGGCTGCAAAGTCAAGCAGATTGACTTCAGAGTGACGCCCTGATCACTGAGCCCTACTACCTCTCAGATAATCAGTGTAAAGAGAGGGAAACTGAGGCTCGGAGCAGGTCGTGGGTCCATTAGAGGAAGCCCGAAGAGGGGCAGCTCATGGTGGGGTGCTTGGTGGGCCTCCCCTCCCCTCTCATCCTCCAAGCCAGGCGTCCTTCTCTATGCAGATTTTGCCTCCCTCTAAATGCCCCTCGCATCCATCTGGGAGGACTTTGAGCAGCACAGAGAGGCTCATTTTCAGGACACCCTCTGTAAAAACCCAAGCCATGGTCCAAATGGCAGTAGTGGGAAATTAATTCCCCCGGGCTCATCATAACTTCCCACCCAAACCCCTGGGGCGGCCTCCTCACTAGGTCCCCTGCCTCCATTGCGTCTTCCAGCGCATCCTCCCTCCCCAGCTCAATCGCTCACCTGCTCAGGATCCTTTCACAGCTCCCAGCCACTTATCATCCAAACCCCTTGCTGCGACATCCAAGACCCTCCATGGCCAGGCTGCTGTCCACCCTCCTCGTGGCTATAACTTCCATCATGCACATGGTGCCCCAGGCCCACGAGACCCTGCCTTTGTGCAGCTGAGTCCCCCTGCCTGGACTGTGGGGAACTCTTACCAGGCGACCTGCCAGGCACTGGGTTCTGGGCCCCTGGCTAGTTAAGCTGCCCCCTCCCCTGGGCAGCCCTTGATCAGATCAAGAATATGCCTTGGCTTTGGGTCTTGCCTCTGTCCCCTACAGAACAGGCAGGGCCAGCATCTTGCTCACCTCTGGGGTTCCCCATGGAACGCCGCACAGCCCGTCACATGAGTGAAGGATCAGAAAGAATGAGTGAATGAAACTGCCAAGTCTCTAGGCCCCTGGTACAGGGCTTTCTATCTTGCTGCCTCCAGGAAGGAGGACTTGTGAGGCCTGGCACTGGGGCATGGACAATGGTGTGGGCCTGTGGGGTCCCAGGTTCAATGCTCAGTCACCCTATCTTTGTCTAGCACCTGCTTGGTGCCAGGCTCTGTGGTGGCGACAGGGTGGCACATGGTGACTCTAAGAGACCTCATTCCCATCCTCTTGGGTTTCCTGCCCAGCAGGAGGAGGGGCAGTGGACAGTTGTGAAGATGACGGTGCCACTCTTGTCTTTACTATCTTATAATACAACGGCTCCCCCATTCCCAGGGTCCAGCACCTTTGGAAAAGCCTGTGGCCCTACCTTCCAAATGCCCCCCAAAGCCAGCCCCTTCTTGGCCCCCCATGACTCCCACCATCATCCAGGCCACCGTCATCTGTCACCTCGACTCCTGCAATAGCCAATCACCCACCCCCCTACCCAGTGAGTTCTCACACAATGGCCACTGCGTGTTGTCACCATGTGCCCTGCCCACAAGCCTCGCACGGCTTCCATCCACCTAGAACACAGTCCCTAAAGACCCAGGGTCTCAGTTTTCCTGTCCTCTTTGCTGAATGGGAGGTTTGCTCCTTGCTGGGCCTGGGATGTTTTCCTTTCTGCTGGCCTCGTGGCTCCCTCCTTTACCTCCTCCAAAGGGTCAGATGTCACCTCTCCAGAGAGGCCTTCCCTGGGCACTCCCGTCTCTCCTGCATTTTTCTTTATAGCAATTACAGAGGCCTAAATTGCCTGATATGCAAATATGTCATTTATCTGCCTCCTCCCTGTCTGTAAGCTGCATGAGAGCAGAGTCTGGTACTCAGCGGACACTCAGTAATTGTTAAATGAATGAATGACAAGGTCCCAGCTCCTTCCTCCCTACAGAAGTCCAAGGTGCTGTGTGCATATGTGGCCTGGCCAACTTCTCCTGCCTCCTTTTTTCCCACCCTCTCTTTTCCCCGTCGCACCCCAAGGACACTGGACTTCCATTGGTGAGAAATTTTAACAATGGGATGGTAGCAAACATTTATGGATTAAGAGCAGCCAGCCGGCACCAAGAGCCCTCGTGGACCTTGAGCCCTGTCAGTGCTTGTTCACGGCCAGGCGTCCCCACACTCTTCCTTCTGCCTGGGCCCCCACCTCCCAACCTGGCCAGCTCTTATGCAGCCCCTGTCACCTCAGTTCAGACCTCACCTCTTCGCAGCTCTCCCAGAGTGCCCTAGAAGGGGCGGCTGCCCCTCGCGATGTGCAGCTTACCTGTGGGCACTCTCTCTTTGCCCCTCACATTGAACTCCTGGAAGCGGGGACTGTGCTCCAATTGCCACAGGGGCCTGAAGCAGTCCCCCAGCTCTGAGCACCATGGACCCCACCCTGGCACCTGCTCCTCACTCCCTCCTGCCCTTCTGGCCATTGGAGGGTCTCGGGTCTGCCTGCTGGAGGCTGAGCTCCTTGGGGCGGGGCCGCGACTCCCCCAGCAATGCAGATCCGGATTCAACCACTGCGTATGAACTCCTACCATGTGCCAGCCCTGTGCTGGGCAGTGCTGCAAACTCCACTGCAGCCTCCAACAGCCTGGGGTGCCTACTTTGCTGACTCTATTTAATGGCTGGGGAAACTGAGGTAGAGAGAGGTAACATGACTTACCCGAGGTCCCTCAGCCAGGGCAGAGCAGAGCAGAGCAGGGACTCTGGGCTAGGGCCATAGGGGCATCTTTCAGTGAAACCATTAGGCCCTAGAGTCCTGAGAGTGTGGGGGACTGGGTGGGGGTCCCTTCCACACATATAAACACACTCACAGACCCACAGATGTACACAGATGGAGACACGCGGAGGGATATACGCACATCTATTCATGACACAAAAATTCATAGATGCACGCCCTTCCTACACAGACACACACACGAACACACATACACATACATGCCAACTCTGAGCCTGTGAGCCCAGGGTCCTGGGCTTAAGTCAGTACATAGGTGCAATGTGGGGCTCCGGGCCTGTCTCCTACACCAGAAGGCCCAGGTGGGGTACCGGGTGTGGAGGGGGCAGCATGTCCAGTCCTGCGAGGCAGGGGTAGGGTGGCCTCTCCCTTCCTCCTGTCCCTGCCACCTGAATCCCAGGCCACCAACCACCCAGCACTGATGCTGTGCCTGTCCACACACCTGGTGTCACCCTGCGTGGTCCCTCCCCTCCCCAGCTCTGTGGGCCCCTCACCTTCTGCTCACTGATCACCCTCTGGCCGATGAGGCCCTGCAGGCCTGGCCTCGGAGCAGGGTAGGTGGCTCAGGCTGCAGGGAGCCAGGCCCAGCTCTTAGGGTGGACACTGTCACTAGGTCATTTATAGATCCCGGTCCCCTGTCCTGGAGGCCCCCGCTTACCTTTGGGAGCGGCAGATAGGTGCCGGGCCTGCACACAGGCCTCAGGAGCCTCTGTTTGTCCAGGCCAAGGCCTCCCCACCCCCACCCAGCCAGCCCAGGCTGGATCAATGGCCTAGAGCCATGACCAGGGTGTCTGGCCCTTGTCCCCTGTGGCCTGTGGCCTCAGGCTCCATGGAACTCCTCCTGCTGGGTCCTGGACAGCACTGTGACTAAGTACAGGTAAACAGGCAGGAGGTAGGAGAAGGCAGTGCCTGCCCCGCCCCATCTTCCCCCACCCCCGCATGGGCACCCCAGAGGCTGGCAGGCAGGTGCGGGAGATCTGAGCTCTCCCCCGAGGCCCGTTGCCTGGTGACATGCCTGCCTGGTTACAGCCCCTGGTCCCCGAGAGCATGAGGTAGGGACAGCCAAGGACTGGGGACTGTGCAGAGGCCGGTGCAGGTGAGTGCAGGGGCTCACAAGGGTGAGTCCAGGTGCTTACCTGGACAGGCGAGACTAAAGGAGCTGCTGGCCTGAGAGAGAGAAAAGGAGGCTGGGCCCATATACTCTGGGGACTGGAGAGGAGAAAGGGGAGGCAGGGGTGGGGTTTGATGCTATTTTCTGTTTAGCTGGGAATTATTTGAATTCCTACCTCGTTCTTTTTTTTTTTTTTTTTTTTTTTTAAGATGGAGTCTCACTCCGTCACCCAGGCTAGAGTGCAGTGGTGTGATTTCGGCTCACTGCAACCTCCGCCTCCCGGGTTCAAGCAATTCTCCTGCCTCAGCCTCCCAGGTAGCTGGGATTACAGCGCCCACCACCATGCCCGGCTAATTTTCATAATTTTAGAAGAGATGGGGTTTCACCATGTTAGCCAGGCTGGTCTCGAACTCCTGACCTCAAGTGATTCCACCCACCTCGACCTCCCAAAACGCTAGGATTACAGGCATGAGCGACCGCACGCAGCATGAATTCCTACCTGGTTCCGTAGCGCTGTGCTGTCCATGACGGTAGCCGCTGGTCACCCGTGGCTCTTGAGTCAGTCTGAACTGAGAAAAGCTGCACGGGGGAGACGCACACCAGGTTTCCAAGGCCAAGTGCAAACAGGATGTCAACCAACGCGATAACAATTTTTATATTGATTTTATGTTGAAATAACACTGGTGATCATGGGATAAATAAAATGTATTATTAAAAGCAATTTTCTTCTGGCTCTCTTGTTTTTTTTTTTTTCAGAGACAGGGTCTCATTAGGTTGCCAGGCTGGTCTGGAGCTCCTGGGCCCACATGATCCTCCTGCTTCAGCCTCCCAAGTAGCTGGGATTACAGGCGCGGGCCACCACACCCCTTGTTGCATGTGGATATTAGACAGGTTAAGTCACAAGTGTGACCTGCGTTGTTGTTCTATGGAACAGCGTTGCTGTGGAGATGGGTTTGAGCCATATGCGTGCCGAAGTGCCGGATGGGAGCCAGGGCTTTCTAGGGTGCGTGCAGGGCAGCGGGCGTCTGTCTCAGACAAGGCTGACTTTCAGCGAGTCTACATCCTGAGGCCAGAATGCGGGGTGCACGCCTGAGATGCTGTGTGCTGTGGGCATATGGGTCCCAGAGTGTGTGTGTAAGAGAGACAGTCTGGAATTTGTGTGTGTAGATTATGTATGTGTAGAATGTGCGTGTGTGTGTGTGTGTGTGTGTGTGGAGCGTAGGGATTGTGTGTGGGGTATAAGATTTGTGTGAGAGGTGTGTCTGTGAGGTTTGTATGGTGTGGGGTGGGGGGTGTGTGAAGTGTGTTGTGTGGGCATATGGACTGTGCATGTGTGTGCAGTGTGGGTGCTGGGAATGTGCAGTGTAAGGTGTGTGTGTCTTTGAGGTACGTATGGTGTGAGGTGTGTATGGAGCATGAGAGGTGTGTGCAGCTGTGTGTGTGTGTGTGTGCATGCTCACAGTATGTGTGGAATATGAGGCATGTGTTTAGTGTGAGGTGTGTGCATAGTGTGAGGTGTGTGTGTAGTGTAAGGTGTATGTAGTGTGAAGCATGTGTGGAGTGTGAAGCGTGTGTGTAGTGTGAGACGTGTGTGGAGTGTGAGGTGTGTGTGGAGCGTGAGGCATGTGTGGAGTGTGAGGCGTGTGAGTGGAGTGTGCAGCGGGTGTGAAGTGTGAGATGCTTATGGATTGGCTGGGATGGGACAGGGCCCCGCGCCCGGGCTTTGCCGTGACCGCCGGTTTTCAGCCCTACCTGGCTCCCTTTTAGTTGTAGGAACCTGGGCAGATTCCCTGACTTCTGAGCGGTGCTTCTTCCATCTGTCGAATGAAAAAAATTCGCCCCTTCTTGATGAACGGGAAACAACGTGTGCGAAGGCCCAGCACTGTGGGGGGCGCCGAGAGCGGGTTTCTCCTCTTCTCATGGTGACACGCTGGTGTGTCGGGGCCAGGTGTGCCTGTGCACTGAAGTCCAGGCAATGACAGGTGGCATGTGTGTGGTGCCTACCTGTGTGGCCCCTCACGCATGTCTCAAGCACGTAGATGCCCCATGCTCTCTGGCGTGTGCTCCCTAAGGGGGCCTGTAGCAGTAGGCAGGTACCTCCCTGACATGTGCGTGGGGGGCACCCCTGTGTCCTAAGGTGTGAAGGCCCCTGCCCATGGGGGCTGGGCATGAGCTCAGTACAGCACCATCTCCAGGCAGAGCCAGGGCTGGGCCAGGGCAGGAGGGCGCACTGTCAGGCTGGTTAGGATTCTGGGTTAGGGGGTACCTTCCCTCACCTTCTCCTGTGGCCCTCCCCAGAGTCCTGGCCCCTGCCCATGGGCCTGACCCTGACCCTGAGACCGAACACCATAGCCCTGCCCACTGTCCCTCGTCCCAGCCCCAACAACTCTGCCTCCTCCCCATAAACTCCCCTCTTCCCAGGCCCTGGGCCCCACCTTGCAAACTTCCTGAGGGACAGATGCTTGAGACAGAGCAGGGATAGTGTGTTTGTGTAGGGGGTGAAGACACCCCGATCCTAGCCTCTGTACCCCATCCTGTCCTTTGGAAGGTCAAAAGGCCCAGGCCCCCAGCCCAGGCTGCTAGCCCGACAGTCTGAAAAGCCGATCTTGCACAATCGACGTCCTCTAGACCTGGCGGCCACCTGGCCATCGATCCGACATGGCCTGGGGGGAGGGGCTGGCAATAAGCAAGCAGCAGCAAAATGCTGAGAGAGGTGTTTGAAAGCACAGACGTGGCTGGGTGCAGTGGCTTACCCCCACACCTGTAATCCCAGCACTTTGGGACGCCAAGGAGGGAGGATCCCTTCAGCCCAGGAGTTTGAGACCAGCCTAGTCAACATAGTGAGACCCTGTTTGTACAAAAAAAAATTTTTTTTAATTAGCTGGGCATAGTGGTGCACACCTGCAGATCCCACTACTAGGGAGGCTGAGGTGGGAGGATCACTTGAGCCCTGGAGTTGGAGGCTGTAGTGAGCCATAACTGTGCTGCTGCACTCCAGCCTGGGTGACAGAGCAAGACCCTGTCTTGAAAAGAAAGAGAAAAGGAGAGGAAAGAAGAGAAGAGAAAAGCACAGACAAGGGTCCCAGAAAGCCGTGGGGGTAGGGGACAGCCTGCCAAGGAGTCAGGGATTTCCTCTGTCAACAAGGGACACTCTTGTCCTCGCAGCAAAGAGACACGTTCACATAGATGGAACGGAAGCCTTGTTGCTCTGGGAATCTGCATTCCTAACACTGAGCCTCAGCCTCCTTGGTCCCCAAGGAAAAAGAAGCCTCCGGGAGGCCTGGTGAGGGGATGAGGGGAGGCTTGAAGGCTGGGCATGGTGGGGGCCGGACAGCGAGGAACACAGGCCTGACCCAGCAGGACAGGGCAGAGCAGGCCTCGGTGTGCCCACCACACTCAGGTGACCAAGATCCAGCGGGGTGCTGGAGAGTGGGCAGACCCAGCCAAAATCCCAGTCCCTCCACGTGTTGGTGACCCACAAGATGTCCCCAAGCTACCACTTCATGGCCTACGGATGGTGGGTGATAAAGCTGGTTGTTGTAGGCCAAAAAAAAAAAAAAAATGTAGGGTGGGCTCCTCGTCCGTATGATTGGTGTCCTTATCCAAAAGGGAAATATAGAGACAGAGACGCACGCCTACAGAGGGAATGCCGTGAAGGTAAAGGCAGAGAACGTGGCATTGCTTCTATAAGCCAAGGAACCCCACTGATTGCCAGCAAGACATCAGACGCCAAGAGAGAAGCCTGGAACACTCTTCCTCATACCTTCAGAAGGAACCAAGCCGGCCGACACCTGGATCTTGGACTCCAGCCCCCAGAACTGTGAGACACATTTCTGTCGTTCAAGCCCTTCAGGTGTGGGGTCATGTGAAGGCAGCCCTAGCCAACGAATACAATGCCCATTGCACTAGTATTAGGTAAATGCTATGCAAAGCCTGTTCCTGTGTCTAGCTTCCTCCCGGGCTCCTGCGAACAGCAGGCGCTCACTCATTGTCCACTGAAGAGACTGAAGAGCCAAGATATCTGTATTTTTATCAGGAGCCTTCAGGCCATGTGATGCCTTAAGCCATGGAGTGGACGCTCAGGCAGAGCGGAATTGGGGGTAACCTTGTCTGAGCTCAGAGAAAGCCCTAGAAGCAAGAACACAACAACCCAGCTCTTATACACAAACCCCCAAGTCACAGCACTTGTTCTCCGAAATTTTCCAGTTTGGGGTCTACTTGTTTCTTTCCCTATTCTCCCCACCCCCTTTTGACTGTGAGTCCCATGAAGATTTCTCAATCTTGCAAGTTGTCGGTCCCACTCCCTCAACACTCTTAGCCTAGAACAGTGCCTGGCACACAGGAGGAATAAATATTTGTTGAGTGAACAAATGACAGTTACTGTTAACTCCTTTGATGATAACACAGTAAGGATTTTGACAGCTGGGCCCTCCACACAGTCGATCACAATGATGCCACAAATCTAGGCTTCAGAGTGGGAATATGGGTCTCCACTGAGCAGAAGAGGAGACTGAGGATCTGAAAGGAGAAGTTCACCTGCCCCGGGTCCCGCCACCCACTGCAGGTGGAACATAGACTCCAGCCTGGTCTCTTTGATGGGGGGTGTCGCTGTTTCCAGGGGCTGCCATAACAGATGACCCCAAACTGGGTGGCTTAAAACAACAGGGATTTGTTCCTTCACAGCTCTGAGGCCAGATGTCTGAAATCAAAGTGTTGGTAGGCTCATTGCCTCTCCAGAGGCTCTAGAAAAGAAATCCCTCCTTGTCTCTTGCTAGCTTTCGGTCCTCTGGCAATTCTTGGTGTTTCCTGGCTTGGAGGTGCAACGCTCCAATCTCTGCCTCCATCATAGCACGAGCTTCTTCCTTGTGTGTGTGTCTCAGTGTTCAATTGCACACACTTTATAAAGACATCAGTCATCATGGATTTGTGCCCCACCCGAAACCAGTAGGACCCCATTTTAACTTGCTTCCATCTGCAAAGACCCTATTTCCAAATAAGGTCATATTCACAGGTTATGTGTAGGCATGAATTTTGAGGAGACACTGTTCAGTCCTAGTACAAGAACTGATGGTACTATTCTCGGTGGGAGGAAAGGATCAGATAGCAGGAGGGCCACCCTCTCCTCATCCTCCTGTCCTGTGGGCTAGCCACGTCTCAGAGCTCAAGGAGGCTGCTGTGGGAAATACCTTACCACCTTCTCTACTCTTTGCTGAGCCGAGCCTCTCTCTGAAACCTACAGGGGAGGCCCAGGGTCTGTGGTGAGGAGGTGAGGGGCGGGCTCTGTGTGCTCCAGCCAGACGCTGTCTAGACGGTGGCTGGAAGCATGGGGCTCCTCTGGGCTCCAGGGCAGGGTATGAGCTTCCCAGTGCTGCCAAAACAAACTGCCACCAATAGGGTGGCTCAAAACAACAGACACGGCCAGGTGCGCCGGCTCACGCCTGTAATCTCAGTACTTTGGGAGGCTGAGGCGGGAGAATCAGGAGGTCAGGAGTTCGAGACCAGCCTGGCCAACATGGTGAAACCCCATGTCTACTAAAAATACAAAAAATTATCTGGGCATAGTGGTGGGCACCTGTAATCCCAACTACTCAGGAGGCTGAGGCAGGAGAATCGCTTTAACCCGGGAGGCAGAGGTTGCAGTGAGCTGAGATCAAGCCACTGCACTCCAGCCCGGGTGACAGAGTGAGACTCTATCTCAAAAACAACAACAACAAAAAGAAAAAACCGGCCACTTATTCTCTCCCAGTTCTGGAGGCGGGCAGTCCAAACTCAAGGTGGCAGCAGGGCCACACGCCCTCCCTGAAGTCTCCAAGGGAGGGTCTTTCTTGCCTCTTCCTGGCTTTGGTGGTTGCTGGCGATCCCTGGTGTGCCTTGGCTTGTGACAGCGTCACTCCAAACTCTGCCTCTGCCATCTCATGGCTTTCTCCCTGTGCGTGGCTCCATGCCTCTTCTCCTCTGCTTTAAAGGACACCAGCCATGCTGGATTAGGGTCCACCCTAAGGACTTCATCTTCTTCACATCTGCAAAGACCCTATTTCCAAATGAGGTCACATTCATAGGTTAAAGGGTCAGGCCTTCAATGTATCTTTTGGGGTGACACAATCCAGCCCATATTAAGCAGGGTGAGGCAGGCAGGGGCAGGCTGGCTGTTGACAATGCTGTGGACAAGTGTCCCAAAGGTTCCACATGACCATGAGTCCTCAAGTCACTTCTGAAGTGTGTCCTCTCCCTACACCTGAGCTACCACCATCTTACTCTCCTCCCCCAAAATCACAGTTATGACCTGCTTCCTTCCACCTCCCACAGGCCTCTAAAGCCTGAACTGCTCAATAGATGCAACTTTTCTGAGGCCACCTAGGCAGGGTCCCCAGAGGCCACCTCTGCCATCTCTTTCCAATGCACGGTGTCCCTACTGCAATTCACTTGTTCGTTCATTTGATTGGTGTTGAGCCTCAACACAGCCACAAAAGAGAACAAGAAAAATAACATAAAAAGGATAAGGAGTCTGGGCAAGGTGGCTCATGCCTGTAATCCCAGCACTTTGGGAGGCCAAGGTGGGAGGAATATTTGAGCCCAGGAGTTCAAGATCAGCCTGGGCAACATAGCAAGACCCAGCCTCTACAAAAATACAAACATTAGCCAAGTGTGGCAGCATGTACCTGTAGTCCCAACTACTCGGGAGGCTGAGGGGAGAGGATCACTTGAGCCCAAGAAGTTGAGGCTGCAGTGAGCCATGCTCCTGCCACTGCACTCCAACCTGGGCAAGACCCTGTCTCTAAAAAAATAAAAATGTAAGGAGGTTAGGAAGCAGCAAGGAAGATTTTTTTTCTAGAGCCTTCAGGGAGAGAATGAGCCTGCCAACACTTTGATTTTAGATAAGAATAAAAAGAGAGGGGGGCCGGGCGCAGTGGCTCACGCCTGTAATCCCAGCACTTTGGGAGGCCGAGGCAGGTGGATTACGAGGTCAGGAGATCAAGACCATCCTGGCTAACACAGTGAAACTCCATCTCTACTAAACATACAAAAAAATTAGCTGGGAGTGGTGGCAGGCGCCTATAGTCCCAGCTACTCGGGAGGCTGAGGCAGGAGAATCTCTTGAACCTAGGAGGCAGAGGTTGCAGTGAGCCGAAATCCACCACTGCACTCCAGCCTAGACGACAGAGCAAGACTCCATCTCAAAAAAAGAAAAAAGAAAGAACAAGAACAAAGATGTAAAAGAAATAGAACAAGTCTCAGTTGCTGCCCTTGAAGAAAGCTGCCAAGCCTAGGGAAACAGACAGTGGGACAGAAGCTTGGCAGGCACTTGGCCCCGCCCACCACGTGACAGCACCCGGTGGAGGACAGGACCCTCAGCAGTACATGGAGATGCTTCTTATGTGCTTGGAGGAATAAGAATCCACCAGAATGGCCTGTCACCAACAGGTGTGGGACCTCTCAGGAGTCCCCATCTCTGTGGCTTGTCTTCCTCCATCTGTACAGGGATTTAAGGATCCTAAGGCTTAGAATAATCTATGGCTTACAATACAGCTAACCAGACCCAGGATAGGCCTGATCTCCAATAAGAAAAATGGTCACTTCACCCATCTGAGGTGAGAAAGTGGAGTTTCAGAGCAGTGATTTGCTTGATGTCACACAGTCAGGAAGTGCTAGGAGCTGGATTCAAACCCAGGACCCTCTGGCTTCAGAGCCAGTTGTCCTTCCCAGTGACACCTTCTCCTGTCTCTGTGTTCCTTCCCACTGCCCACACCACCACTCCTGAGCCCTCGGCCTCTGTCTCAGCCCTGGGTCCTGGCCTCTGGCCTCTGTCTGAAGATGCTGCTAGGACAAACTCACCACCAGGCCCTGGCATGCCCAGTCGCTTCTTTCCCAGATGGGCAGTCGGGGTACAGATGCTGATCAGGGGTTTGGGGTTTGGGAGGGGCTGCTTCAAGCCACCTTGGGGACACAGAATGGAAACTCTGCATGCATCACTCAGCCTGACCTTCTCCTCCACTGTGGGATTGTAGCAGGTGGGGCTCCCAGAACAGATAGGGGGACTATATTAGTCCATTTTCATGCTGTTATGAAAAAATACCCAAGACTGGGTAATTTATAAAGAAAAAGAGGTTTAATGGCCTCACAGTTCCACATGGCTGCGGAGGCCTCAAAATCATGGCAGAAGGCAAAGGAGGAGTAAGGGCACGTCTTACATGGTGGCGGGCAAGAGTGTGTGCAGGGGAACTGTCCTTTACAAAACCATTAGAGCTCATGAGACTTATTCACTATCACAAGAACGGCATGGGAAAAACCTGCCCCCATGATTCAATTACCTCCCACCTGGTCCTTCCCACTACACGTGGGGATGATGGAAGCTACAATTTGAAATGAGATTTGGGTGGGGACACAGCCAAACCACATCAGGGAGCCAGACCCAGAGAGTGGGTGGAGACTACCCAAGGTTGCACAGCAATGCTGAGGCAGGGCTGGGACTGGAACCCAGGTGACCTGATTCCCAGCCTGTACTCTTCCCAGTATACTGTCCAAAAATGAATTCTAAAAACTAAAACAAAAGAACAATATTACTTATTTCCATATACATAAGGCTTTAGGCAGAGAGTCAACAAAAATTTCCAAAGGACACAAAATTGCAATTTTCAACTTTTTTTTTTTTTTTTTTTTTTTTGCCTCAAAACATTGCAGGCAGAGCCTCCTCTAAAGACAGTCCGGTTTGTGGGACTAGCTCTTGCCCTTGAAGGGGGCCCTGTCCAAGGTCACAGACACCTAAATTTCCCCAAGGAGGCTCTTTCCTGCTGCCCTTTCATGGGAAGACCCCAGCACTCACTCAGGTTCCCCGAGTACCTCTATTCTCCTTGGTCATCTGTGTCAGACAGCTGTTGACTTGGTGGGCCCGAGAGAGCTCCTGATACCAGTCGGCTCTGTTGCCTCTTCCCTCCACGTTGGTTTCTCAGAACCTTGGTCATTCCAGGTTTTCAAAGCCTCTAAGTAACTTCCCCTCCCACCTTTCCTTCCTTCCTTTCTCCTTTTCCTTTTTCCCTCCTCCCCTTTGCCCATTTACCAACCTACACATCCATTCAACGAACAACCTGTGGCAGGTGCTGGGATTCAATAATGGATGGATCACGGAGGATCGAGGATCGTTAACTGGAGAGAGTTGCAGCTGAGCTCAGCAAGCAGGGGGTGGGGGCACGGAGCAGCCAGCACACCTGGGGTCAGGAAGAAGTGATCTTTACAATAAATCCCGCAGGATGCTCTTCCTTTCTCCCTCCCTCTCTACCGTGCAGACACATTTTGCTTGGCTTGCTTGTTTTCTGTTTTTAAAAGATGAGTGGCCAATATTTAAAAATAAGGACACTTTGCAGGAAAAACTGAATTTTCAGCTTCTCTTAAAAATGTAGAAGATCAGGCCTGCGCAGTGGCTCAGGCCTGTAATCCCAGCACTTTGGGAGGTGGAGGCGGGCGGATCACCTGAGGTCGGGAATTCAAGACCAGCCTGACCAACGTGGAGAAACCCCGTCTCTACTGAAAATACAAAATTCGCCAGGCGTGGTGGTGCGTGCCTGTAGTTTCAGCTACTCGGGAGGCTGAGGCAGGAGAATCGCTTGAACCCGGGAGGCTGAGGTTGCGGTGAGCTGAGATCACGCCATTGCACTCCAGCCTAGGCAACAAGAGTGAAACTCTGTCTTAAAAAAAAAAAAAAAAGTAGATGACCTAGCTGATCCCCAACATGGCAACAATCAGCGATGGCTGCCCTGGAGCAATTTCGGTTTGACACAGACCTCACCACTCCCTATTGTATCACACTGCATGGGTTAAAAAGAGTTACTAGAGTCAGGAGCCTGAGTTTGAGTCCTGGCTCCACCACTTATTTGGCCACATGCCCTTGAGCTACAAGGTATTTGATTTTACTGGGCCTTCATTTCCTCATATAGAAAATGAGACAGTAAGCCTAAGTGTTGTGAAGATTGACAGAACCTGTGTGAGGAACTTAGAACGGGGCCCGCATCTACTGGGTGTACACCATCAGCATTTCATCACTGCAGCTAATATCTACCCAAACCCCAGTCCCTGTCAGCATCTGAGTTTGGGATCCCAGCAGCAAAGGTTTCATTGTTAGTTTCATATTTGCATAAATTACAAGCAATAGAATTCTCTCGCCAACATGTACCGTTCCTGGCTGATTGCTCGGACTGACAGTGTAACGGGTGCTCTCCTACACCCACTGTTACGAGAATCACTGGACCGTTGGCCGGGGACGGCCAGCCACCCACCATCAAGCCCGTTCCAAGCAACCCGAGCTCTCTCAAACCGAAATGTCCAATTTGAACAGTCCAGTGCACATAGTAGAAGCTCAATAAATAGATTAGAATGAATGAGCAGTAGTTACTGGGCACAGGGTGGGCTATCTTTTTTTTTTTTCTTTTTTTTTTTTTGAGACAGAGTCTCACTCTGTTGTCCAGGCTGGAGTGCAGTGGCGCGATCTCAGCTCACTGCAGCCTCCGCCTCCTGGGTTCAAGTGATTCTCCTGTCTCAGCTTCCTGAGTAGATGGGGCTACAGGCGCAGGCCACCATGCCCAGCTAATTTTTTTGTATTTTTAGTAGAGATGGGGTTTCACCATGTTGGTCAGGCCGGTCTCAAACTCCTGACCTCAGGTGATCCACCCACCTTGGCCTCCCAAAGTGCTGGGATTACAGGAGTGAGCTACCGCACCCGGCCTTTGAAATTTCACTTCTTCACCCCATTTTAGATGAAGAGACTGAGGCTCAAAGGGGCCAAGTGGTACAGAATTGGGAGGGACAAAATGTCCTCGGCCCTGAGCTAGGCGGGTGGCAGCCAGCACGGCTGGATTTGAGAGGTAGGAAGAAGACCTCATAGGTTTCCTTCAGCATTTGTCACACCTCCTAGAATCTTGTCATCATAGATTTGGGCCTTATCTCAAACCATCATCCCCCAAGACCTACCCAGGTGCTTGAGGGAGATGAGCTGTCAGGATTAGGAGGTTGGAAAGGGCAGGGAGGTGGCAGGAGACACCAAGCCTGCAGGTGTCCAGCTCATCCCCTGCCCCAAACAGCCATCACCAACACAGCAACAGAGTATCCAAAAGGCCAGCCAGCAAGTCAGCAGCTTCCACATCTCTGGCCCCTGGCTGCCCTGGTCACAGCCCTGTCTCTGTCTGTCTCTCCCACGGCTAGCTCTTCTCTCCTAAGTACTTTACATTAACTTACTTCTTTTTTTGTAACAGGGCCTCACTCTGTTGCCCAGGCTGGAGTGCAGTGGCACGATCAATGCTCACTGCAGCCTCAATCTCCTATGCTCAAGGGATCTTCCCACCTCGGCCTCCCTAGTAGCTAGGACTACACGTATGTACCACCATGCCCGGCTAATTTTCTGTATATATTTTTTGTAGACACAGGGTCTCACCATGTTAGCCAGGCTGGTCTTGGACTCCTGGGCTCAAGGGATCCTCCCACCTGGACCTCCCTAAGTGCTGGATTACAGGTGCAAGCCACAGCACCCTGCCACATTCAATTATTTCTTTCATCCTCACAACAGTCCTGGTATTGTCCCCTTTTACAGATGAGAAAACTGAGGCACGGAGAAGCTTAGGTATTTGTCCAAAGTCACAGCTGATAGGCAGCAGGGCCAGTACTTAACCCAGGCTGCGGGGCTCCAGAGTGAGGGGGCCAGTACTTAACCCGGCTGCGGGGCTCCAGAGTGAGGGGGCCAGTACTTAACCCGGCTGCGGGGCTCCAGAGTTAAGGCTATAACCACTATGCCACACTGCCCCAAGGTGTCCACAAAGGCTGAAAGTGTAGAATGAAGGGGGCTTTGCTCGCTGCTGGATCCCCAACACCGTGACTTGCAGGTACTAGGCCCTCCTAAATGTCTGTTGAATGAATAAATGAATGAATGAACAATTCCTTCCTCTTCTAAGAACCATCCTCAAGCAGCTATCCAAAACTACCTGAACTCTGGCTCAGCCTCTCTTGCTAAAGCCCCGCACGGCATTCCACAATTCCTCCCCAGGTTAGAAGACTCCACCAGAGTGTTCACTGGCACCATTTCCTGATCAAGGCTTGTGCTCACAGGACCGGGTTGATTTTCTTCCACACCGAAGGAGGGCTGTGATCAGCTGGTCTACTTGTATGTGTCCTCCAGAGTCACTCCCTCCCAGACAAGGTTGGAGACTCTTTGTGGACAGAGCAGTAGCCGGCCTCCTCTCTGTGGCCAGTGCCCAGCATGAGGCCAGGTAAATAGAGGAATGGGAGATGAGACATTGTCTGCCAGCTCTGCTCCTCCCTCCGTCTGCATCCTGGCTTCCTGGAATCGTAGACTGGGCACTCCCCCCTCCACTACCCGACCTGCGTCTCTCACCACTCAGCGCTTCCTGCCTCACTTTCTGCCAGGCTCTGTGATGGGAGCCTCGAGTGTGTCATAGCCCTGGTGGTGGAAAATGTCTCTAAGCAAGTCAGCCTAGGGGATGTCCCAGGCCTGTCACAGGTGCTGGTGGTGAGCTCAAATTTAATCAACACTCCCTCCCCCACTACCAAACGCACTGTGTGGCCCGGGACACGGCACCGCCATCCCCTCAGGGCCTCTGGGCCTCTACTGAGGAACAAGACTTAGAACCTCTGTCATTCCTATCTTGGTAGGTCACTGTGTGTTTGTGTGGGATACCAGGGGTGCACACCCTTTAGAAGCTGTAAGAAGCTGTGCCATGTGGGTGCTAAATATTGCCTGGGTTCAACTTGCTCCACTACATTCTAGCTGTGTGATCATGGGTAAGTCACTTGGCCACTCTGAGCCATAGGCTCAGCTATAAAATGGGCTAAGAATAGTACCTCCCTCATGGCATTTGCTTAAGGATCCAGTGAGTTAAGGATGCTTCCAGAGAGTGGAAGGATCAATGTGCTTATAACAGAGTCTGACGCATCTAAGTGCTCAATACATGCAGTTCTCGAAGACTTTGAAGGACCGAGAACATTCCACAGTGGCTCTCACAGATCCTTGACCCCAAAGCTGTCCCTCCCCCACTGCCTGTTGATAAAGCCCAAATTGTCAAATAGTGGCTGCTAATCTGCAAGAACAATTCCTCTCTCTTCCAAGCACCATCCTCAATCAACTATAACCAAAACTAGCTGAGTTCCAGTTGAGCCCCCTTGCTAAAGCTCCACCCAACATTCCACCCTCCTTCCCCAATTAGAAGGTCCTTTCAGAGTCTTCTTGTGCCTGGCTTTTCTGACTAAAGTCTTGAGCTAACGGGGCTCTACCTGATGTTCTTCCAAAGCTATTAGTATCACCCTTAGATCCCCAGAATCTAGCCCAGGCTCTGACCCACGGCACAACAGTTGGTTATAACAGAGGTAGCTCAGGAGGGGGACAGTAGGAGGAAGTAATCTACTCTACTTGGGGGCAAATCAGAGGGCCTGCCAGAAGCAGAGATGCTTGAGTGGGGTTCTGAGGGATGCATAGGAACCTGAGGGTAGATAGCTTGGGTGGCAGGGCAGGGCTACTTCAAACCCAGGGATCAGCAGGTGCCAAGCAAATGAGTCAGTTGCAATCCCTACTCTCATCCCCACCCCCCAACCCCAGCGTGAACTCTTGATGTAAAATACATGTAGCCCAGGCCTTAAGCCATATTCCATGTGGCACCTGGAACCACAGAATGTCAGGGCTAGGAGAGCACTTAGAAATCATCCAATCTGCCTGCCCAATTCACAGATGGGGCAACTGAGGCATAAGAGCAGATGGGACCTCCCCAAAGTCCCCCAAGCCATGGACGATCACATTAAGGACCTCAGCCATTATCCTGAAAATGACAGTGGGTCACTGGAGGTTTAGCAAGGATGTGGTGTGGCCAGATACGACCTTTAGCCAGATCAGCCTGGCAGGGCTCAGAGGTGGAAGGATCAGAGGGGCAGGCGGCTGTGGGGACAGGCAGACCGAGGAGGAGGCTGAGCAGGCATACGAGTGAGAGGTGATGGCGTCAGGTCTGTGGCACGGAGGTCACCAGGGTGGGGGTGGGAGAAGCCAGTGAAATGCTGGCCCAGAGGGACACTGGACCAGCTTGGAGGGTGGAGGCAGTAGGAGGGGCTCAGCAGTTACGGAGGAGGAGGAGGTAAGACCACCTCGGCCTGACCAACCAGCATCGCCCTCAGCCTTCTCTCCTGGCCACCGTTCAGCCCCATCTACCTGCCAAACTATCAAAGGGCTTTGCTTTTTCTCCCACAATCACACTAATGGATCATGGCATCTTATTTTCCCCCCGAAGTTGACTGCCAGGAAGCTTAGAATGAAATTTTACCAGGTATTTTCCCATTAGTATAATTATCTCCTATGTAGCCTTCTGTATGCTAAGGGCCAAAAGCTCCGGAGTCAGATGTACCTGAGTTTGAATCCTGATGCTACCAACCATCAGCTGCGTTGCTCCACCTCCCTGGGCCTGTTTCCTAATCAGCAAAATGGGGAATAAAGCACCTGCTTCTCAAGGTTGTTTCCAGATGATGAGAGATGACGCCCAGGCCATGCTGGCACAATGTGTAGAGTGGAAGTATTGGTTCTCTTGCCCCTTCTTACTGTCCTCCTTGGTCTGTTTTTTCAGCTGTCAGTAATGAGGAGGACAGTGGTGGGTGCTTCATCCTGGACCTGGGCCTACAGTTTCCACCATAATTTACTTGGGAAATGCAGGCACCTGAAGTTGCTTCGAATGAGAGATGGGAGGTGGGGGAACGGAGGAAGCAAAATAACAAACCTAGTTCAACAAAGAGGAAACATGAGAGGCTGGAAGGCCCCCCCCTCCCCCCACCTCTCCTCCTTTTTCTCTTACCCCCAAGATCTGCCCTGGCTGCCTCCTGCTTCCCGCTCTGTACCTGACGGTTCTCCAGGGCCCCAGCGGCTGCCCGGTCCCCAGCTGGTGCCGCTCCTGTCTCCTGAATCTGACCCAGGCCCCTCCTGCAATCTGACCACCACCCCTGCCGCCAGCTGCTTCCTCTTTGTCTCCTCTCCCAAGATCCACACTCGGATCCACACTGGGCATGACACACAGTGACCGCTGGCCCATCCCTTCATCTGCACCCGGTATAAGGTGGCCCTGACTCTGCTCCCTGCCAGCTCAAGTCTCTCACCAGACATGGTGGGGACAGCTGGGCTCCCTGGGCTTGCCTCTCACAGGTCCCTCTCAGCTTTCCAGTCTCCATCCTCTCAGCTTCAGTTTTCCCTGCCTGGGAAATCGGAGTTGGGAAACCTAAGAGCTCCTTTTGTGTTAGGAACCTGAGGAATTATGCGGTCCAGAGATGTCATCAGCTATCAGCTGTGACCAACTGGGGGCTGCCTATAGCGCAGCATTGCAGAATCTGAAGCTGCACCCAGGCTCTGCAGGAGGAGAGCTGTGTTCAATTAGAAATGTCTGCCGTGCATGGGTGCAATTGATTAGTAATGTCTGCCATGAGTGTGGCTTTATGAATGCCAGGAATTGCCATCCCTGGTCTGGTCCAACTTTTATCAGGACACTATCTATCTATCATCTATCTACCTATCTGGAGGGAGGGGGATAGAGGGGGGGGGAGAGAGAGAGAGAGAGAGAGAGAGAGAGAGAGAGAGAGAGAGAGAGAGAGAGGAGAGAGAGAGAGATTCGTCATCAAGTGCAATATTTCCCCAGGCATAGACTTGTGGGATATGGCCATGAGCTGATACCTGGACACAGAATAAGACAGACAGTCCTGACTCCTATTAGTGAAAAAGATATTCCCTTTACAATCCTTTTCCTTTCTCTCAAGGAGGAAGTTTGCATTTGGCCCTGGGATGTCTTCGACAGCTCCCCAGCAGCTTCTCATTTCCCCTTTAAGAGACAACAGGTTTACCGCAGGCAATGAATATCAACACTATTTTGTTGCATTGTACTTATTTTGTACAGTTACCTTTTATTTATAGCGAAAATGGGTTTTTTCATTTACAGAGTAACAAAGATTTTTCTTTAAATAAATGTATTTCAACGAAAATGAACTGACTTAAAGAAAAAATATTAAGGAAATAATCACAAAGATGGTACACACGGATCATTAAAAGATACGGATGTATAGATACATATGTCACAAATGATTAAGACTTAAAAAATGTAACCCTCCCAAGAAGTGGGAGCCTCCCAAAGTGGAGAAGGCAAATACAATTTCCATTTGGGGGGATAAGGAGACCGACTTGCAGAGAGGATTAGTAGGTTGCCCCAGAACACACAGCAAAGGTGTGGAGCCCCTTGTGGTCTGAAACATTCAGGACCCTATGGCAGGAGGTGAGACTGTCCAATAATTCAGCTTTTTTCAAGGCATAGACCCAAGACTCAGACAACCTCAAGAAAGGGGAGTTTATTTTGGATATAAAGGCAACAGGAATCCTGACCAAATGGTCAGCAGCCCTCTCAGCAGTAGGTATTTTTGTATTGGGAACCCAAGGTCCTCTGCTTAGTGGCTCAACGCTTGTCTACCTTTCCAAGGCTCAACGCTTGTGGAGCCTTGTCCACAAGCACCTGCTCCCAAGGGCCTCCCTCCCTGAGTTCAAACGCCCAAGACAGAGTTGATCTGATTGGCTAGTTCAGGCCCAGCCTACCTGATTGGACAGAGCTTGGTGCCAAACCCCCTCATAGGCTGCTGGTCAGAGCCTGTGGGGGCGTGTGGTCAGGTGCCCAATCAGCTGTGAGCAAGGCCTGTAAGTGCAGGTGCCTGAGGGCTCCCAGGTCAGAGTTAGCTGGGACTGGGGTCACTGTCCTGCTGGGGTGGAATGTTGTTTGAGCCATTGCAACGTGATCTGCCTAGGAAAGATACGTGGAGGGGTCGGGGTAGGGGGTTGAGCCCCTTGCAGGAGGGGGCATGCCAGACCTAATGGGCACGGGACTCTGCCTCTCTGTGTGAATGTCAGGCGCAGGGAGCCCAGACGAGGTGGTGCCAGGTAATTAATTCGTTCATCCAGGGTATACGACGGGGTGTTGGGCACTGTGTCTGGGGCAGTGAAAAATAATGAGGCCCTGCCCTGTGGAGCTGCCCTTCTGGAGGCCAGTGTGCCAGTCCCTGAGCTGCAGAGGAGACCCCTCCAGTGGAGGGGGCAGTGGGAGGTCCCAGGCCTGGCAGCATCAGGGCCCACCACTAGGCGGGGCTGCTGCCTGGGCCTCGGACTCCAGGGTTTACTCCCCATCAGCTTCTCTTGTGGGTCTGTGAAGCCACTGTGGGAAGATGCAGCAGGCATCCACTTTGTGGGGGGATCTGTGCCCTTACTTGGGCCCCAGCATTAAAGATACAGCAGCCAAGCACTCTGAGGCCTCAGAGATCCCAAAGGAATAGTAACAGGGCCTCTTTCTCCAGGCGCCCTGGGTCCCTGACAGCTTCTCCCTCCAGCACTGACGCTAGAAGTTTCTGGCAGATTAAGGGAGGCAGTGCTTCCCTCCAGGAGAAGCAAAACCGGCACTTGAAGAGTCAGGGAAGTTTGTCACCTAGATGAGGGGGAGCGCACAGCAGCCCCAGGGAATAGCATGTGCAACAGAGGGGGTGTGAGGGAGCTCTGAGTGGCTCAGGAGGACGGTAGGGAGGATTGCAGAAGGGGATGTCCCCACACGACACCGGAGGTACAAGTACCAGGCTGAGAAGTGGGGCTGAGGGCAGTGGGACCTGTGCAAGGTTTTGAACCGAGGGGGAGCGTGGCCATATTTGGGTTTTGGAAAGCACGCTCAGGCTGCCCTGTGGACGGGGAGGGGAGGGAAGGAGGAGGCTGGGGCAGAAAACCCAGGGAAGAGGTCAGGGCAGGGAGCCCTGGAGAGCCGCGAGGACTGATATTGGTGAATAGCTGCAGGGCTGGAGAGGAGCGATGCTTCTGAGCCTAAATTCGTGGGATCCTGTGATTAACGAGGGAGTTGGGGAGTTACTGCCCCCCTGCAACACACACAGTTCCTGGCTCGGGCAGCAGGACCCGGGAGCAGCAGTGGAGGTTTGGAAATGGATGGACCAAGTGTGCAGGACTGGGTGGGGGCCATCCGGGTGGAGAAGTCCAGCTGCAACTGGACACTGAGTGTCCTCAGCAGTGGACTGAGGACCCTCAACAGGGTCCTTCTGAGGCTCGGCGCAGAGCAGGCAGCTGCCTGCCTCCCACCCTGGCCATCTGTCTACACCAAGTGAGTTGGGTCCTGACCCTGGAGTTCTTGGAGGGACAAGTAGGCATCAGTGTTCAGGGGCAGGCGAGCATTAAGGGCCCTGAACTCCCCCTGCCCAGGAGGCCTGGACCAGGGGAAACTGACTCCCTCCCTGGGGCCAGCGTCAGGGACCTCCTCCCCAGCCTCTCGCAGCACCAGCTCAGGGGGTGGCTGAAAATCCACCAGGTCTGGGACTCCTGGGGTGGGAGGCCCCAGGGGCTGGGGGTCCCAGTCTCTGGGGACTCTTTCTTGCAAAGAAGGGGGCATCCTCTCTTCACCGGCCCCACTGCCCCCAGGGGCAGTGCTTGGGGGGCTGGGGCCACCGAGGAGACTGGGGGAGAAGAGCAGCAGGTCATCCCTGGAGGGGAAGGTGCAGTAGGCGTCGTCCTCCCCTGACAGAGGCTGCAGGGGTTGGGGGGAAGACCCTGTGGGTGCCCCGGCCACACCCTCATCAGGGTCTTCCTCTGAGTAGGGGTCGTAAGTAAAGTACACCTGGCAGGCCTCTATCTCCAAGGCATCCGGGAGGTGGAAGAAGAAGTAACCCTGGTTGGTGAAGCAGCTGGTCAGCGAGTGGTTGCTGCTTAAGGATGCGGGCTCAGGCACCTTGTCCTGCTGCAGGAGCAGCTGCGTCACCTTGTCCCTCTCCAGCACTTCTAGTGGCGAGATCTCAGGTGCCAGGCCGCCAGGGCTGAAGGACGATGAGGGGAAGGGCGAAGAGAGCCACTTCTGGTGGGAGAAAGGCCAGGGGTGGGTGAGTGGGGGCTTCCTTCACCCTCCACCCCTTCCTCTGGACTCTCAACAGCTCCTAACTCCTCCTCCTCCTGAAGCAGTTGGCCCAGGGCTGCCCCATCCAGGAAGCTCTCCCTGATTATAGCCCCGCACTCCCCCAACCCACCCACTGGCTTGGGGGCCCTCTGGGCCACCAGCCCAGGGACACTGCCTGACCCACAGCCCAGCACAGGCCTGCCTGGCTGCCAGTAGTGCCCAGGAATGTCTGATTGCTCAAGAGTGACTGTTTATTGGACACCTGCTATGAGCCTGGCACTGTTCTAGATGCTGGGGACCCAGGAAAGGAGAGAATCCTCAGACTGTCTAGTGGGCACTAGCACAAGTGTGGGAATCGATCCACCCATGCCAAAGCAGAAGGGCACTGAGAGTACAGCCTGTTCACCCTACAGATGCCCAGAGACGGGACATGCCCTGGCCCTGATCACAGACCAGCAGGCGGCAGAGCTGGGACCCAGGGTCTCCGCTTACACTGTGGTGGGAACGTCTCTTGGGGGAGCTGATGGTTTCCTGATTCACCTTTCCCCCAGTTCCCTGCAGTCCCCACCCCCACCCCCTCCGCCTCCCATCCCCAGAGAGAGGAAAGTGCCCATCAGAGCACTTCTCAGTTGCTCGGGATTCCAGAGAGCCCTGGCAAGGAGTGGGAAGACCCGGGTTCTAGCCCTGGCCCTGGCACTCACTAACTGTGTGACCCTGGGAGGGCCCCTGCACCTCTCTGGGCCTCAGTTTCCACAACAGCCACGTCTCTCCTGACTTCCTTGCTGTCACCCATCAGGTCACCAAGGAGACATCAGGTAAGCAAATGGAGATGTAAACACCCAAAACGGGTAAGACACAGACTGCACAGCAGAGTGGGGGACAGCAGGCCCTCCTGGTGGTGTGGCAGGGGCCTCGGGTGGGTGAGTTTGGGAGCCCTGACAACCCTCTGTCCTGGGAACCCTCAGCAGCTGGACTATGGCCCCCTAAGCACAGGGGCCAGGCCCAATGGGCTCCCCAGGCCTCTGTGCCCAGCATGGCGGG
The DNA here is from genome assembly GCF_000001405.40 of Homo sapiens. Lineage (NCBI taxonomy): Eukaryota > Metazoa > Chordata > Mammalia > Primates > Hominidae > Homo > Homo sapiens. Next base: position 37,129,929 of record NC_000022.11, read on the forward strand.
TCTCATGGATCTATTTCAGATGAATTAATGAACCAGCAACAAATGCCCAGTTCTCCTCTCCAGGGAGAGTCCCTGAGGCTGAGCCAGCTGCTCCGCAGACACACACACACACGCTTACATGCATGCACACATGCACACACGTGCACACACCACTCAATTAAATCCGCCCCCTTTCTGCAACCAGGAGTTATGTCACAAAAGAAAAGGCTGAGAGAGGCAGAAAGGATAAACTGAGGATGGCAAAGAGGGTCGCTGGCTGGGCAGAGAGGAAGAAGCACTGGTCGGGTGAGATTCATGATACCCAGGGCAAGGGCGGGGCCAGACAGCAGCCCTGTGTGTGCAGCCAGAGAGGGAGCGGCCAGGCCTGTGGCCAGTGCCGGTGAGCCAGGGACCCACTGCCTGTGGCCAGCTACTTCCTGGGCCTGAGCCTCTGCCCACAATGCCCTGAAAGGGGCTTCAGGAGACACTCACGCCCCTCACACATACTCCCACACTCGCACACACGTTCCACGATCCCCTGGGAAGTGGGGGTGGGCCTTGTGGCCCCTGTGGGTCCTAGGGTGGAGGGGTAGGTCTCTCACCCAGATGCAGAAAAGGTGGGGCCTGCTTTGCCATCCCCAACCCCCAGCCACATCATGCCTTCTTCCTCAGGACCCCGCTCCACACACTAGACCCAAGGATACCATACCCTCATGGGAAGCTGGAATGGTTTGCAGCTCCCACCTCACGATGTTGTAGGTTCATAGAATCAGGACTTGAAGCTGGAAGGTATCTGAGCATGCAGCTAATCTACCGCAGCCTCCAACCAGTTCAATGGGAGAATCTCTATGCTTCTGACACATAGGCAACCATGGCTTGCTTGAATACCTTTATAGATGGGAATCTTGCTACCCTCAAGGCTGAGGGAAGAATTTTAAGGAAATACATTCCCGCACATTAAGAGTACTGCAACTAATGGCCAGGCACGGTGGCGCACGCCTGTAATCCCAGCACTTTGGGAGGCCGAGGCGGGCAGATCACCTGAGATCAGGAGTTCAAGACCAGCCTGGCCAACATGGCAAAACCCCGTCTCTATTAAAAGTACAAGAATTAGCCAAGTGTGGTGGTGTGTGCTTGTAGTCCCAGCTACTCGGGAGACTGAGGCAGGAGCATCGGTTGAACCCAGGAGGCAGAGTTTGCAGTGAGCTGAGGTCGTGCCATTGCACTCTAGCCTGGACGACAGAGCAAGACTCCATCTCAAAAAATAAATAAATAAATAAATAAATAAAAGCACTGCAACTAAGATATTCTCATCTTGGGAGTTTTCCAAGGAGTTCCAGAAGGGGCCCTTGATCAGCCCTGATAGAGAACTCCAAAGCCAGGTCATGACAGCTCTGGTCCGGCATGGCTTTCCTCCTCCGCCACTCTTCTTGACCTCCCTCTGCCCCTACCTCATCCCCACCCCCCAATCTTGGGAGCCTAGAGTGGGGCTAGGGTGGTAAAAAGTACCCCCCATGTCCCCCCTTCATTCTTGAAGCTTCCTGCCTGAAGGGGGCATGGGCTGGGGAAGAGGAGACGACGGAATCTGAGATGGAGTTTAGAGCGTTACTGATCTGCGGGCCGGCACTTTAAAAATGAATCGGTGTTTTGTGACTCAAAGTGACGGGAAGACTTGTTAGTATCCACGCTAAGTTATGGAGCCTGCTCAGGAATTTTGAGCAGGGACAGGAGAAGCACAGAGCATGTCTGCACAGACAGTGGGGTGGAGAGAGCTTGTGCTGGCAGGTCCTGTTCGTTCAGCACACCGGCAACGGTAATACCAGATAGGGTACTTTTTTTTTTTTTTTGAGATGGAGTCTCACTCTGTCGCCCAGGCTGGAGTGCAGTGGTGCCATCTCAGCTCACTGTAACCTCCGCCTCCTGGGTTCAAGCGATTCCCCTGTCTCAGCCTCCTGAGTAGCTGGGATTACAGGCATGCACCACCAGCCCGGCTAATTTTTGTATTTTTAGTAGAGACAGGGCTTCACCATGTTGGTCAGGCTGGTCTCGAACTCCTGACCTCGTGATCTACCTGCCACAGCCTCCCAAAGTGCTGGGATTACAGGCATGAACCACTGCACCCAGCCTGATAGGGTTCTTTTGAACACTAACTGCGTGCCAGGCAATGTACTCAGGGCAGGACACATAGTAACACTGTTTTTCTCCTCATCTAACAGGTGGGGAAACTGAGGCCCAGGGAGGCTCTATAGGCCCAAGGTCACACAGCCAGAATGTGGTGGAGCTGGGATTAGAACCCAGGCAGTCTGGCTCAGATGGAAAGTGCCAGAGCTGGAGAAGAGACCCATGCACACCCCGGAGGCTGCTCACTTCGGCGTTTTGTCTCCTCTCACAAAACACAAAATTAGCTACTAACCTGCCACCCCCTCATCCCACTCACACCCCTGCCCACCTCTGTCTCCCCGCCCCGGCCTCCTACCTGGACGTCTCCTCCATGCTCTGAGCTCAGCTGGGAAAAGAACTTCGAGGGGTCTGGGGTGTTACACTTCAGGACCTTCTTCAGCCTGGACAGAGGAGAGGAGGGAAGGAGGAGGGTGAGAAAGGGAAGGACCGCGGTGTTATGCCATCGGCACCACAGCTCTGGATGCCAGGCACGGAGCCGCACCACATTTACTTATGTATTTCTTCCGCCGATACTAAGTGTTCACTGTGGGAGGACGCTGTGTTGGGCACTGGGGAGACAAGAATGGCCAACAAAGGAGGTCCCTGCTCTCAAGGAGCTGACATTCTCATGGGGAGATGGACACAAAGCATGTTGCAACATCACCATTCATTCTGTGGAGACAGAGAGCACAGTGCTACACAAGACGGGGAGGTGGGGGTCGATGGGGGTGAACACACAAGCCAGAGTGGTCAGGGACGGAGATGGCTAGAAGAAGTGGAATGAACCAGGAGGCGGGAGAGAGGAGATGGGCTTTCTTGTCAGGGCTGCCATGGATGGTGGTTCAGGTTGTACACTGCCCAAGGGCATTAGGCTTGGGCAGGGAGTGGGAAAGGTGGTGGTGAGTGAGGCTGAATTCCAGCCCATGTTCTGCTTGCTAAGCTGAGTGCCTGGAAGCTGTGTACATCACCGTGAAGAAAGAGGCACCATTTTTGATTTGCCCAAAGGTTCCACACAGCTGGTGGAGGCCCTCAAGGGCCAGGGTGTACTGCAGCGCAGTGAGCGGCCTCTGAAGAGTGTTAAACAGGAGAATGACATGGTGGAGAAAGCACTGAAGGGGCGCAAGAACGACAAGGAGGAGGGCAGTCTGGAGGCCACTGAACCCATGCCTGGGAGAGGACCTCTCCCTCTACAGGGACATGGTTTCCCTGAAGGCCTGCAGGGAGCTGTGGGCGGAGGGGACGGGTGGGTGGAGGAATGCTTGTCTTCTTGGGAGGAAAGAGGAAACGGGGCTCCGAACACTGCCGAGAACCACTGCTCCAGGACGAGGGTCAGGAGAGCGGCAGTCACTCCTAACTGGCTATGTGACCTTGGGCAAGTCAGCTGACTTCTCTGGCCAGTCCTGGCATCAGTTAAAAGGCAATGGTAGCCCCTGACTCACTGCCTTCCCAGTGCTGGGGAAAGTCGAGTGAGGTGACACAGCTAGGCACGCTTTGCAAACCTCTTGGGAGAAGCAGGGCTCTCATCAGGGGGCCACAACCCCCGGTCAGAAGTGTCACCTCCTCACCGCTTTGCCCTCCACCAGGCCACGCTCCACACAGCAGCCAGGGCTACAGAGGGCGAAGTGGATCCTGTCCCACTTCTGGGGAAACCCTCCATGACTGCTCGGCACACGGCCCAGGTCCTCACCACAGCCTGAGGCCCCAGGAAGCATCACTGCCGCCACAGGCCCAGGCTCAAGTTCAGCCTCCTGCCCCACCCACTTCTGTCTCCAGCCACACCAGCGCCCCTGCACTCTGTTCCTGGAAGTTTCTTCCCTCCTGCCTGCCCAGGGCCTTTGCACATGCTGTTTCCTCTGCCTGGGACACTCTCCCCATCCCCTCCACACCCCCCATGGGCTCCCACTACAGATTTCAACAGAATCATCCCTTCCTCAGGGAAACCAGCCCTGGCCACGCCCCAGCCAAGTTTCCCCTCCCTGTTTTCTGCTCCTGATACAGTCAGCACTCAGGATCCGTGGGTTCTGCACTCACGGATTCAGCCAATCTCTGATCAAAAATATTCAGGAAAAAAAAACCCTCATAGCAATACAATAATAAAAAATAATACAAATTTTTAAAATACAGCATAACAACTATTTACATAGCATTTACATGGTATTAGGTATTATAAGTAATCTAGGAGATGACCTAAAGTCTCTGGGAGGGTGTGTGTAGGTTACACGCAAATATTCTGCTGTGTTAAATCAGGGACTTGAGGCCGGGCGTGGGGGCTCACACCTGTAATCTTAGCATTTTGGGAGGCCAAGGCGAGTGGATCACCTGAGGTCAGGAGTTTGAAACCAGCTTGGCCAACATGGTGAAACCCCGTCTGTACTAAAAATACAAAAACTTAGCAGAGCACGGTGGCGTGTGCCTGTAGTCCCAGCTACTCGGGAGGATGACGCAGGAGAATCGCTTGAACCCTGGAGGTGGAGGTTGCAGTGAGTCGAGATTGCGCCACTGTACTCCAGCCTAGGTGACAGAGTGAGACTCTATCTCACAAAAAATAAATAAATAAAATAAAACAAAAATCAGAGACTTGAGTATCCACCAGCTTTGGTATCTGTAGGGGGTAGGGAGGGTCCTGGAACTGGTTTCCATGGATCCTAAGGAATGGCAATACGTCGACATCCTCCTCTGCCATCCTGATCCCGGTGTGTCATTACACACCTGCATGATTGTCTGCCTTCCCCCACTGGGCCGTGAGCTGCCTGGAGCTGGGGCGCATGCATGCGGCCTGCCACTGTGTTCCCAGCTCTTTGAGCTGTACCTGGCATGCAGCTCGTACTCAGTGAATATGGGAATAAGCGAATGACAGACCTAGATGGACCGGCGGGGACCCAGACACAGAGACAGCTGACATGTGCACACGGGCATCCCCAGTCCTGAGAGCAGTGTTCTGGACAGGGCCCCGGGGCTCTCCCTGGAGGGCTGCACCTCCCACCTTCCCCTCGGGTTGGTTCCACAGGGCCCCCCTGTGGGGATGCGACACAGGGAAAGGCCAGGTTTTGGACAGGGAGGACTCTTTGGAGGGTAGACGAAGCACGGGTGTATCAGAGCAGGGGGTTCGGTCCAGAATCTGACCTGGCAAGGTGGCATGTGTTCATGTAAGTGTGTGTGTGTGTGTATGTGTGCTTGTGTGCGTGTGTGTGCATGTGTGTGCATGTGTGTGCACGTTGGAGGGGTGGGAGCATGAAGGAAGGGGAGGAGAACCTTCTTACCATGGCCCGGTGTTCCTGCAGTTGATCAGCAAGTACACTAAGATGATGAAGCCAAAAGCCCCGCTGAGGCCCACGAGGAGGTGGCCGAGCCACGGAATGGTGTCCTTCCCAAGGGCTGCCCAGGGGTGGGAGAAACAGCAAGGAGAGGGGTTAGAGAAGTGCCCTCACTCACCCTGGGTCGGTCACCCCAACACCCCCATCCAGGGCCCTGCCACGCAGGCCTGCGTCTGGGGGGCTGGGGACAGGGTTCTGCTAAGCCCATCCTCTGGGAAGCCAGATTTCATGCTAAAAAGAAATGACACGGTGGCATTCTAAGAGCTCCTCCAGCTCCAGACAGATCCCATGGGCCCCCCTGGTGAGCCTACAGCCCCCCACCACCCCCACAGCAGCCTGGGCTCCAGCTGGCTGCACCCCTCTCTCCACCTCCCTCCAAGCACCACTTAGAGGACCCCAGGTCTTGCTTGGGCTTGAACTCGAAATGTGGTGCGATGAGGGACAGGCGCCCAGCAGACCTGCTGAGGGCCAGGCTGCCGGGACATCACACGCCTTCCTCACAGCAGCTCTGCCTCACGGTCACTGTACCCATTTCACAGATCAGGCCGAGAGGTGAAAGCAGCCACCCCCAGCCCCAGAAGAAACCAGGAGTTGGAGATTTCAGGGTGGAGAAGAGTGAAAACAGCCTTTCGACCCCTCCCCAACTCACAAGGCCCATGGCAAGCCCCGTCCCCTCACTGAACCCCTGTTCCTGTCTGAAAAGCGAGCCCCCTGCAGGGTTACAGCAAGTGAGGGATGGAGCTGACTGCTATACCCTCACCCCAGGCAGGGAGAGAATGGAGCAGCTCCTCCTCCAGCCGCCCCCTCCTGCCTGAGCCCCCTCTCACCCTTGCCGCCCACCAGTACCTGCAGGCTTTGTCCTGAAGGCCAGGGGCTGGCTCCAGGGGCTCCAGGTCGTGAACTCGCCTTGCAGAGGCTTGACCCGCACCTGAAACTCATACTGGGTGTCTGGGGTGAGCGTCTCCAGGCAGATCCATTCCTGCTTCTGCTTGAGAGTCAGCAGGGGGGCCTCCTGGGTCGGAGACAGGACTGTCAGCGCCCACCTCACCTCCCATGGCAGGGCCAGGAGGCTGAGCATCACAGAACCCCCCCCCAACCCCTGCCAGCTGCACCCCCACTTCCTTGCCACCCAAAGCTCCCTCACTACCCAGTTGCTGGGGCCTCAAACCCCAGGGTCATCCCCTAAAGCCCAAGTCATCAGCTAATCAGCTGGTTCCACCTCCAGAACCTGGTTCCACCTCCATAGCCATTCCAGAACCATCCCCCTCTCTCCCCGCCGCACTCACCCCAGGCCTGAGCTGCCGCCCTCTCCCAAGCCTGCAGCTGGTCTCTGGTTCCCACCCGTGCCCCGCTGCAGTCTAGTCTCCACAGGACCAGAAAGTGGGACGTCTCCGCACACCTCTCCCACCCTGGGTCACTCTTTTTGCCTCCTCCTGCTCCCCAGACACATAGCAGCATCCTGCCTTTGCCGTGGCAGGTCTTTCTAATTTTGCAAAACTTCTCCCCAGATCTTTGCAGGTCAGCTCCTTCTGGACACCCAGGTGTCCAAGGGGCCTTCCCTGGTCACCTGAGTCTGAAGTAGCCTGTGCCAGTCACTGTCAAATTCCTTGCCCCGTTGGGTTTTCTTGATGGAACTTATCACTATCCGGGTGCCTCACTATCCCAGACCCTGTCGCTACATCTGCTGACTGACTGCCTGCCTGCCCTGCCCCAGTCTGAGATTCCTGAGAGTGGAAGTTTGCTGAGCTCACCCTCCGCTCTCTCCCCATCATTCAGCGCATAGTAGGTGCTCAGCAAATATTTATTGAGTGAGCAGTTGAGTGAATGAAGAAATGAGTGTAAGTGAATGAATAAGCAACAGGCCCGCACGGATGTGGAGCAGATGGGCTTTGACACGTGGAGGGTTGGCTTCCCTGGCCTCTGAAAGCCCATGGGGCTGGGCAGCTGCCTATCTCCTGGCTTTCTGAATCTTTCCCTGGTGTCAGCCTGGAACCTGCTGCCAGCTGGATCCCCAGGATTAAGGGGGCTAGATAAGGACGTGGAAGTCGGGGAGGCAGCCCCAGGCAGTGCAGAAAGAGCACTGGACTCAGCCACCCACCATCCACCTGGGGCTGAGGGGACCTCGACACAATGAAAAAGGGACAGGACATGGACCAGGACAGGAAGGAGGAACCAAGGCAGGTACGGACTGGGCCACATTCTCACCTCCCAGGTGTGGCCTGGGGACAGCGTCCGGGCCTCGAACTCCAGGTGTCTTTCAAAGTAGTGGGAGGCTTGGGAGATTTCCCAGCTTATGTTGCATCTGTGGGTCTCCACGTGGACAACTTGGAGGGAGATGGGGGCCATCAGGCGAACTGGAGACAACAGGGGGTAGGGGAGAGCAGTCAGCCATGACCTCCACCTCCCACTTTGTACCTGCCACTCCTCCCTCCTGGCACATGCTACCACCTCCCCTACCCCCCGACCCAAAGCCCCAGGACCCGCTCCCTCACTGCCTCCAGGCCTCTCTCAATGATCACCTCTTGAGAGAAGCCTTCCCTGACCACTCACCACTCTGCATCCCCCTTGCCTGTTTCACTTTTATTCCCAGTGCTTATCATCACCTGACCTACGAAATATATGGTTTGGTTTCTTTACTCATTTTCTGTCTCCCCCAGCAGACTGTGAGCTCCTTGAGGGCAGGGACTTGGTTGTCTGCTGTGTCCTTGGCACCTGGAAGATTACCTGGCACTTGATTCAGTAGCTGCTGGATGAATGACTCACGGCAGCTTTTCTCTGCACTTACAATTGACCTGAGAGCTTTCCATGGATCATCTCATTTATTTTAAGTGTGATGATTATAACACTGTGATTCTGAAGTTAAATGAATCTCAGTTTCTATACTTCTAAGACTCTATAGAACCACATAAGTGATAAGCAGATGCTGAGTGCTGACTACATGGTAAGCAGTTTCTATGTCTCAGTTCAAAGATGCCTTACAAGCCTGGTAGGTAGGTGACTCCGATTCTCCCCAAAACTCAGGCTCAGAAAGTTTCGATGGTCTGCCAGTCAGATCACATCCAGTTCAGGCCTGACTCTCACTTTCCACCCCACTGCTTCCCTGGAGATGGCCCCCAAGGTCAGCAGGCAGTCGCTCAGGCATTCAACAAACCTTCCCAGACCACTGTCCTGATGAGACCTAGTGCTGGGTGCGTGGCAAGGAGACACAGGGGTGGCAGAGACTCTGCCTTCAGGGTGCTCACAGCCCAGTGAAAGAGACAGACCTACAATCAGGCAGTAACAACCCAGGACATACATTCCCAGAAAGAGGAGGTACAAAGGGCTAGGGGAGTCTAGGAAGGCCTCCTGGAGGAAGTGACTTTCAACTAAGCCTCGAAACGTGAGTGGGAATTTTCCAGGTGTAAAGGGCCTTCCAGGCAGTGGGATCGGCATGTGCAAGGGCTCAGAGGCAGGGATAGGCAAGGTGGGTTTGGAGAGTTGGCCTTTGGCTGTAGCAGAAATATAGGCCTCAAGAGGAGGAGTGCCGGGGAGGAGGCCCAGGGCTGGATCCTGAGCGGCCTTGAATGCCAGAGGAAGGAGCCAGGACGTCATCCCGAGAACAGCGGGCGGTGAGGTGATCAGATGTGGGTGTGGAAGCTGCCGGGGAGAAAGGCTGGAGCAGGGAAGATCCCAGAGGAGGTGGAAGGAAGGAGGTGCCCAGCCCTGCCCCAGCCCCACCCTGGCTTCCTCACTCACGGTTCTCAAAGGGCTTGAAGTCCTGGATGGCCATCACCCTCCATCGCACCCCCTCACGGCACAGCACCCTCAGGGTGACGATGTCAACTGTGGTCAGTTTCTGAGACTGCAAGGGAAGGAGGGCAGGGGTGAAACTTCTAGCAGCTTCAGGCAGGGGAAGGGGGAGGCCACCGGGATGACCTGGGAAGGATGGCAGCCTCTCCACATGCCCCGCCACCCAAGGCAGGGGCAGCAAATGTTTTCTGTAAAAGGCCACATAGTAACTATTTTTGGCTTTATGGGGCCACATGGTCTCTGTCACGATGACTCAACTCCGCCACTGTAGTATGAAGCAGACGTAGGCAACATGTAAATGAATATTAGGGCCATGTTCCAGTAAAACTTTATTTAGAAACACAGGCAGTGGGCTGGATATGGCCTATGGGTCAAGGTAGTTTACCAACACTTGATCTAAAATGAAGTGAGCTACCTTGAGAGGGAGTGAGCTCCCTGTTACAGGAGGCATGCAAGCTGGTAAGCCCCCACAAAGGTACAGTTCTGGAACTATACCTGTTTAACATTTTTTAGTGTGAAAGGCCCTCCCCTCCCCTATCTCTCCCCATCCCTACGCCTTGAATTTTCTGGAAGAAAATGGCCAGGTATTGAGCATTTTCCTATGAGCAGTCACTGCTCAGATGCCTTAGCCCCTCAATGCACACAGCATCCATCCCATGGTATGGGTGGGAAGCCTGAGGCTTGGGCTGGTCAAGGGACCTGCGCCAGGTCATGCAGATGAACAGCAGGGGAGCCCAAGTTTAAACCCAGGCCCTCTGTGTCCCCCTACAGGGTGACTGCATCTCCGAGTCCTGGCTTGTCATGCCTGACAGAGGGCTGCCGAGTGAGCAGCTTAAGGCATCCTGCCACTGTGCAGCTGCCAACCCTACAGCCCGGCAGCCCTGCGGGAGGAAGCTCTAGTGCAGGCCTCTTAGGATCTGGGGTCCAGGATGCTGATTTCAGGGCCGGGACCTTGGGCACCGTCCCTCTGGTCTGCATAAGACCCACTATGGGCAAACCTTAAACCTGATCGTTGGAATTCCCCAAACTGGCCAGTTCCTCTCCACCCTATAGACCCTGTCCTAGCCTTCTTATAGCTGCTATGGGGGCTAGATTTTCCCCGATGATAGTAGTCTCATTATTATTATTATTATTATTATTATTATTATTATTATTATTACTATTATTGTTATAAAAATATTGCCAATCATACATTCGCGTGATCACTCACACTGTGCCGGGCACTCTTGAGAGCACTTTACATATATTGTCTCATTTAATTCTCTCAACTTGGGCACAGGCACTGTCACTATTTCCATTCTACAGCTGAGGAGACTGAAGCACAGAGAGCCTTAGGGACTTGCCTGAGGTCACACAGCTAAGAAATGGTGGAGCCAGGATCAGAAACCAGGCCACCTACAGAGCTCCCTGCAAGGGGAACAGCATCCGGTTCCAGAGGCTGTGATTTTATCAGCTACACTGTGTGACTCCATCTTCACACTCTCCTGCCCCTCAAGAAGACATATAACCTGATGGAAGATGTGGTCCGGGTGTCCTTGGAGCCCGCTGCCGCCCAGGAGGCTTTGACAGACAATAATTTGATGTACACTCATATGGACATGGCCATATGCCCTGCAAGAGGCAGCCTAATGCAACGGTGAGAAGCCTGAACTGGGAGCCCGCAGGCCTGGGTTCAATCCCAGCTGTGTACTTCCTGGCTGTGTGACCTTGGGCAGAGACCATACCTCTCTGAGCCTCAGTGTCTTCATTGGTAAGAAGGGGACAGTGCTGATGTTGACCCATGGGGCTGTAGGTGAAGGCCGCAGCTGCCCATCCGGAGTGGCCGCTGCTAAAACTCTGGCTGCAGCCGGGAGGCGTAGCTGGGGTCTCCTGCTCCACGGAGCAGGTAGGAGCCCTGCCCTCCCAGGCAGGGCTGCAGCTGCCTAAGTCTTGGCTGTGGACCCAGGCCTCCTGGTGCTGTTGGGGGCTGGGATCAGGCAAGAGCCCCGCTCTCCTGGGCGCAGCTGCAGCCACCCAAGTCGTGGCCACAGAGCCAGGTGTCCCTGCACTCTCAGGGGCCCTGGTCCAAACCCAAGCCTCCAGGTGATCTTGCAAGCAGGGAGCACGCAGGAGACCCACCCTCCCGGGCACAGCTGCAGCTACCCAAGTTGTGGCTGTGGACCCAGGCATCCCTGCACTCTCAGGGTCTGGGAAGATCCCCCCTTGCCTCCGCAGGCTCAGAGCTGTCTGTTCCCACTGCTTGGCCTCTCCCCTGCTTCTGGCACCCGATCTGATCCTGGAGGCACAGTCGGGGCTACGCACTCTGTGGATCCAGTGTGAGTCGGGGACAAGCGGGACCCCTGCCCCTTCCGAGGTAGCCAGGAGCTCTCCTGGGGCAGCTGCAGCTGCCCAAGCCAGGACCCAGGCATCTCTACTGCCCCCACAAGCTCAGGGGTGTCTGCTCCCACTGTCTGGCCTCCTCCTGCTCCAGTGCCCACTCCAATCTCAGAGCGGGACCAAGCCCAGGCACTACCACAGCCTGGCACGCTCGAGGCAGCACTGACTCACTGGCCCCAGCTGCCTCGGCCCCCTCTGGACTTTAGGCACCAATGAGCACAGGGGGATGGGAAGCCACGGGGGTGCAGGGGACAGCTTGGCACTGGCCTGCAGGTGCCCCTTGGCCCGAGCAGCCTGGGCAGAAGGAGGCGGGTCCCTGGTGAGGTCCCACCTTCAGGCTGGGGAGGGCCTGAAAAACAAGGCCCTTGTTGGGCCTTGACCCAACAAGGTAGGTGCCATTATTATGCCCATTTTACAGAAGGGGAGACTGGGGCACAGGGGTTGCCCAATGTCACCCAGCTGGTGAGCCAGGGCTGGAGCATCCAGCTCCAGAGTCTACACCCTTCACCCCCCACACTGCACTGCACTGCCAAGCCCCCGGGAAGAGCTGGGTGTGGTCATTACAGTTACTGGAGTGCTGTCTTACTTGATAAGGAACACAAGTGTCACAGGACCCACAAAGCGCAGGGGAGACAGCAGGAGCAGAGGCAGAATGGCAGATGCCTCACATACAGAGGGTCCGTCGGCCCTGGGGCAGGCCTGAGTCCACTCCCTGGGGTGTCACCTGTTTTTCTCTGCCTCTTGCTCAGCGCTGGGCATCCTGCTTAGCCACAGCCCCAGCCATTGGGCCTCAGCTCTTCCCCTGGCATCCGGCCCACCCTGAGATCGCAGCCCGGAGCTGGGAGACCACCCTCTCCCTGCACTCTCTCCCTGGGTGGGCTACTCACATCTGGGGCTCCGAGGATCAGGTTGCAGGCCCAGGATGCTTGACTCACGGGGAGCAGCTCACAGGTTTGGTTCCACCGCCTTTCATGGCAAAAGACCCTCTTTAGAAGAACAGGAAGGACCCACACAGCTGGCCCAAGGGACTCTTCTCAGATCTCTCTGCTGCCAGGATGGCACCAGGCAGCAAGGCCAGGCTGGGGCCCCTGTGCCAACCACTGTGAGGGGCACTGCCTCCCCCACTGGCTCCATGGCATTCCTCCCTCATGGGCACCTTGTCCTGCTCCCTCATCCCAGCCTGGTCCCACGGCAGCTGGAGTGATCTAGAAACACAAACCACTTCAAGACAGGCAGTCCTCCCCACCTAGAGCCCTCCAAAGCTCCATGAGGCTTAGGATGAAGATAGATCCTTAATTAGGCCTTCAGAGCCGTGTGGAATCACCACCCACCCAGAAGCCAGGGCCCGAACCTGCCTTACCCCTCCATCTCCCTCCCCATTTTCCCCCACCCCACACCCTATGGAATCCACCTGGGCCCAGCCACCTCTCTGTGGTCTTCCTCTTCTCCCTGACCCCATCAAGCCTACCTGGGGTCAGTCCCTCACTCACTGGCCGCCTGGATGTTTACATCACAGTGACATCTCTCTCCCATCCACCAGGCACCCAAACCACTCCCAGGTTCCCTGTCCCCACAGCTGCCTACAGGGTCTCTCAAAATCCGAGCTTATCCAAAAAGCTTGGGGACCCTCCTTTCTCCCCACTTCCTCTCTGCTTGCCTCTAGAGTGGAGTCCAGCCTTGGCATAGCAGGCTTGCAGCTCAGTGTCCCCAAACTACCCTGTCCAGTTCATCCCCAGCCCCTCCACTGCAGCCTGGACTCCACCCAGGTTCTAGAAGTCTAAATAGCTGACTCCCAAATTCTCTTAAACGATCCCTTGATTCCAGGCCTGGGCCCCAACTCCTGTGATTCAAAAAGTCTGTGGGTCCCATTAGTCCAAGATTCTGTAAACGTTGACTCCTTGGAGTCCAGTGCATAGGATCCAGAATATGAGATCCCACCATCCTAAGATTCTGCAGTGTGGCCAGTGGACTCACCGTCTGTCCGGCCAGGCATGGACTTGGCAGGAAGTGTCCTGCAGAGCCCCATCTTGGCTCCAGACACAGGAGATGTTGGCTCTCGAGTTGTAGAAGCATGTGAACTGGGAAGTGCCTGCCGGGCAAGATGAGGTGTGAGTGCTGACTGTAGGTGCCCACAGCCCCCCCAAGACACGCCCACTGCCCCTGCACCTGGCACCCACACCTGCCAGAGGAGGAGGTGGGTAACTCTGGCAAGCGGAGAAGGGATTCATGGACCCACTTCAGAGAGGAGGAAATGGAGCTCCAGAGCCTGCAAGTTCCTACAGGCAAACTAAGGCAAGGCAGGGACAGAAAGTAGCACAAGCCTGTGGCTTGGAGAGGCGTGTGTGTGTGTGTGTGTGTGTGTGTGTGTGTGTGCGCGCATTCATGCATGCATGCCAGGGCAGGGGTCCAGGACAGAGGGTGAGGCAGGAGGTGGACACCTGGTCTCTGGCCCCATCCCCTTCTGGGAAGAGGCTTTAGCAGGGCCTTAGCCATCTCTCCATAGGGAAAGCAGAGCTGTTCAGATGTCAGGGTCCTCACCATTCACCGCTGCAGATGCCCAAGAGGTAGCCAGGGGCAGGAGGAGGATGAGGAGGGGCAGACGCCAGGACAGAGCAGGGGCCGCCATTACATCCACAGGGTGGAGCCGAGGAAGGAAGCCCTGGTGGGAGAGGAGAAAGAGAGAGCACACGTAAATACACATCCCAGGCCTCGCTGCCCCTAGAGGCAGGCTGGGCCCGCCCCCTCAGTGTGCATGGTCTGCACTCCTCGGTGCCAGCTCAGTCCAGCCCCAGGGCCTTTGCACCTGCTAATCCCACCACCCTACACATGCTCACACCCTTCCTTCAAGTTTCTGCTCAACTGCAGCCTCCTTTGAGAGGTCTTCTTTGACTAGACTACATAAAGAAGCACCCGTCGTGGCCAGGCGTGTGGCTCATGCCTGTAATCCCAGCACTTTGGGAGGTCGAGGCAGACGAATCACCTGAGGTCAAGAGTTTGAGACCAGCCTGACCAACATGGTGAAACCCTGTCTCTACTAAAAATACAAAAATTAGCCGGGCAAGGTGGTGGGTGCCTGTAGTCCCAGCTACTCGGGAGTCTAAGACAGGAGAATTGCTTGAACCTGGAGGCGGAGTTTGCAGTGAACCGAGATGGCACCACTGCACTCCAGCCTGGACGACAGAGTAAGACTCTGTCTCAAAGAAAAAAATAAAAGAAGCACCCTTTGTTACTCACCACCCCCCTACATTTTCATCATAGCATTATTTATTCATCGTTTATTGACTGATTCATGTTTTCCTCTATCTCTCTTCACAAACACACACAGAGTCACGTAAGCTCACTAAGGACAGGTATTTTTGTGTTTTGTTCATTGCTAGGTCCACAATTCCTAGAACAGTGCCTGGCACATAGTAGGCATCTGGCCAAAAAAAATTCTTGAACAAACAAGTGATGGAATAAATATAGACAGAGCTAAAGTCAGCAGGTAGAGGGGCTTCCAGAGGGCTCTGAGGCTAGCCCCTGCCTCTGCCCCTCACTGTCCCTCGAGGGAGCTGAGGCAATGGTGTGAAGGCATCAGGACGCGAACTCGGAAAAGCAGAAAAGCAGATAGGAGCTCTGACCCAAACACTGAAGAGCCCTAGAGGACAGGGGAAACTGAGGCACAGAGGGCTGCAGTAGCCTTTACGGAGGACCTTGTCCACACTCGTACTCCCCTACCTGCCTGGAAGCTCCCTGGAGGCAGGGCCAGGTTGGTCACCCAGATTATACCCCAGGGAGGAAAGAGACATGAAATCTCTAAGCCAGCCCTGTCAGAGGGAGGCTCAAAAGTTTTCCCGGAGTGCCTATTATGCACTGGCCACTGGCCAGTGCTTTATTTATTTACTTTTTTTTTTTGAGACAAAGACTTGCTTCTCAGGGAACCTCTAGCCAACCGTGGAAGCTCCCGTGAGGCAAGACCACAACTGTCGCAGCGGAAATGGGAAAGAAAAGTAGCTGCCCCCACCCTCTGCAGGGGCTGGGTGTGCGGAGGGGAATGAGAAAGTGAGCACATGGTCACTTCGGGAAGATAAGGGGACTGCTTCCAGGAGAGGTGTTTGGAGCAGGCAAAGGGGGAGGCAGGGAGATGAGGAGGGAGCTTCCAGGGAAAGATGAGGGTAGCCTCAGTCAGAGGGGCAGGGGGAGAGGGGAGAGGAGCAGGTGAGTCAAGAGATGTGGAGGAGGTGGAACATCCTTCCCTCCCTCCTGCTCTTCCATCTCGAGAGCTTCCAAGGCTCCTGAGCGTTGGGCATTTCCCCCGCTGTTCCCCCTTCTCCAGCGGCTCCAAACTCGAGCTCTCACTCCCCTTCCCTTCTCTCTCTTGAGCCTCTCACTGGCTCCAGCCCTCAGCTTCCCAGGGTCTTTCTCCAGCTCAGCCCCAAGCCTCCACGTCCCTCCCGATGGTCTGCAGGACCCCCTCACAGGGGATGCTCCTGGACCCGGCAAAAACCCAGCTCATCCCCAGCTCTTCTCCTGTCTGACTTTCAGTTCTGGGACAACTGTACCCTTCCTATTCCAGGTGACCTTTGCCCCCATACCTAGCCAGTCAGGACTCTCCTCAGACAGCAGGACACTCCAGTGACTACTTGTTGTCTCTTCCCCACCCTCACCAGGCCAGCCTCGTGCCGTTCCAGCCCAGACAACGGCACCACCCCATCTGCAGGCTCTCACCTGCCTTCCCTGAAGCCCGCCTCCAACCACCCACATCCCTGCCCAGGAACCTGCAGTGGCCCTGTTGCAATCAAAGCCTAAATTCCCATTTTCGAGGCTTTCTGGGACCGGAATGAGGTCAGCCCACCCTTCCAGACCCTGCCCTCACAGGAGCAGGTGCATGTACCCAGGCCAAAGCACACACACACCGCACCTACCTGCCTGCACAAGCCAGTGGCTCCAGGTGACCAGGAAACCGACACTCACCCTCCAAAGGTCCTTCCCAAGTCTATCCTTTCCCTGGGTCCCCTACAGATCCTGCCATCCTTCAAGCCCATTTCAAACGGGCCCTCATGCCTTTTTCCATGAAGCCTTCCCTGATTTCCGTGATGGAGGGCGAGGGCTTCCTCTTCTGAGCGCCTTGCTCCTCCCTCTAGGCTGGCAGCAGCAGGGCCGGCGTTGACCAGGGGCTGGCCCACCAGCACACTCGCTCCAGGGACTGCTGAGCACAGGGCCGGGCACACAGTCGGTGCTCAATAAATGTAGTGAAATGAATGAGTGTGGTCAGAGGCCTCAGTACGGCAAAAAAAAAAAAGCAGAGCTCTTTAGGTGGCCCTGGATTGTCTCGTGGCTTACATCAGAGCCAGCATGGAGCAGGGACACACACCCTGGCCCCAAGAGCCATGGGTTCCATCTCCTAAGGCAGATGTCACAGGAGTGAGAGTCAGAGGCCCACGCACTGTCAAAGCTGCAAAGGCTCTCTGAGCAAGCACAGTCCCTTGTTCTACATTTGAGAACACTGAGGTCCCGAAGTGGGAAAGACTTGCTGAAGGTTACATCAGGAGCCCAGCACAGAGCTGGGATCAGAACCCAACTCCACGCCGCTCTGCCACCCCCTTAGTCACACCAAAACCATCGGCTGACAGGTTACTGTAAGCCAGGCTCCATTTAAAACTCTTTAAATGCAGCAATCAGGGCCTCTGGCGGGGATACTCTTATTATCCCCATTTTCCAATGAGGAAACGGAGGCACACAGAGGTGAAGTGCGTTGCCTAAGGTCATGCAGTGGATAAGAGGCCTTTCTGGAATCTGAGTCAGGGCAGACTGCCCAGTGCCCAGGCAGGGATCCTCCCCTCCTGGAACTCCCCAGACGCATCTTCCCACCACGACAGCTCACACGACAGTAAATATGCACTGGTGAACTAATAATACTCGTTCTGTGTACTGAGCACATACTCTATGCTAGGCCTGGGGCCAAGTGCCTCACATATGCCAGCTCGTCTAAGCTGCCCAATGGCTTTATTATCCCATTCTACAGATGAGGAAACTAAGGCTCCAAGCCCCTAACTTGCCCAGGGTCATAAACACAGTAAGAGGTGGAGCTAGGGCTCCAGGCTCACTCTCTCATGCTGTCCCACCCTGCCAGACACTGGTCCCAGAGGTAAGGCTGCCACCCTCTCTGTCCTGGGAGTCAGGACCCAGCAGCTCACAGACAGACTGGCAGGTGCTTATTCGGGGTACCATGGGCTCGCCTTTGCCTGGCCTACCGTCTCCACAGGAGGGTGAGCTCCCCAGGGTGGGGGCTGCTCACCTCTTTCTTGGGATCCCCCAATAGCAGAGGGCACAGGGTTGGGACCCCAAAGAGTGCATAGCCCAACCAGGGGACTCCCATAGCCCCTATGCCCCTTCACGCTCAATCATGCCAACCTGGCCCTGGGGCAAGGGGACCATCAATGTTTTGTGTGGGTGTCACCCCAGGTCGGGCCCAGCCTCAGGATGACCCCATGCCCAGGACAGGAACTGCAGAGAGCCCCAGTGTGTGAGGAAGGTGCTGAGGGACAAAGGGGTGCAAGGTCAAAGGAAGGTTAGGGGTAAACCACAGGCCCAGCCTAGAGGCAGCCGGGCAGGAGGAGAAAGCGCCATCTGGAGTCTGCTTCCCGCCGCCTGGAGCTCAGAGGTGCAGCGATGCTCGGAGAGGGCAGAGTCCACGGGAGGATGGTGTGGGGGTGCCAGAGGGGCACAGAGCTGAGGGAGCGCCTGGCAGTCACTGAGGCTGCACCCTCATTCTGCAATGGGGAAGCTGTGCCTCAGGGAGGCCAAGGAACCCACTTAAGGTTGCACGGTGAGGAGAAGCCCAGCCTCGGGTGACAGCAAGTGGAGCCCAGGACCTCGAGTTTGAGCACCCCCTCCTGGGTCCTCAGGCACACCCACACGTGCCCTGTCGTTCATGACTCTGAAACTGGTCACACCCACGGATGCCTACGTCCCCACCACAGCCCTGCAAGGTGGGTCTTGCTGCCCCATTTGATCCATGCCAGAACTGAAGCCCGGAGCGGCTGACCCCAGCCATCTGATTTTCAGAGAGATGCTGCTGGGGACAGGGACTGGTGCCTGCTCTCTCTCTGCCTACACTGCCTGCCCTGAGCGCTCGGGGGTAGTTCAGCTTTTAGCCCTCCCTACAGCCCCATGAGGAGGCTCTAGTATGCCTCCTTTTTGCCAAATGAGGAGACTAAGAAACGGGTCAACCTCTCACCCAGGCGAGAAGGGCATAGAGCTGGGATTTGAACCTGGTCAGGTGCAGTTCGGGGCCCCTGCTGCCATCAGGGGTATATGGTGGCTGGGGCAGGGTGGTAAAGCAGGAGCTCGGGAGCCCATGGTTCATCCAACTTGACCTCTGAACTCAATGGGGCCTATGTCCCCTCGTCCTCTCTGGCCACCTCCACCTGCCACCCCCCTGCTCCCATACACAGTGCTTGTCTCTTGCTATTTAACTTCAGGGGCTTCTCCAGCTGGGTGCGGGACCCTGGCTGTGGGGGAAGGAAGGGGACCCTTGGGGATAGCTCAGCTCCTCACTCCACCTCCCTCCCCCGAGGTGCTACAAACACAGTTAAGAGTGGGAGGCTTCGGCCCCCAGGAGAGGAGAGAGCATGAGCTCCAGGCAGCCCCAAAGATAGGGTCCCATCCCCAATGTCCGGAGATGCTTCTGACCTGTCCAGTCATGCAGCCAAGGGAGGGACAAACCCAGACTCAAACCCAGGGCTCTGCCTCCAGCCTGGGGCTCCCAGAGGCCTCGCAGCAACTTCACTTCATAGATGGCTCTCCAAGGGGACCCTTCTGTCCCCACTTACTCCACAAGCCTCCTGATGAGCACGCAACACAGGGCTGCCTCCCCCGGTATATGGGCCCCACTCCACAGAGGTCAGGAGGGGGCTCCCGCCTGTCCCACCCCATATCCCGTACCCTCTCCGGGCACCCAGGCTATCCACCCATCCCTTCTCCACCTCTCCGGGTTGGGGGCCCAGCACACAGAGCCCAGGGAAGCCCCTCATCCCACAGCAGTCCCTAGCCTCCCCTGAATGGGTTGGGAAGGAGAGCTGACCTGGGACTGGGGACCGCTTTTTCCTCCAGCCAGGAGCCATGAGAGCTGGGCCCAACCCCTCCCTAGGGGAATTCTAAGACAAAGTTGGGGGATGGGAGTTCAGGCAGAAACTGCTGGGGGAACTGAGTCAGAGCTGAAAGTCTTCTCTGTGACTTTCACTCCCAGCCCTCTGGCTGGTCCACAGGGGCCGGGAGGGAGGCAGGGGGACATCACCTGGCTGAGACATGGGGCGGTGGCAGCGCGCGCTCTCCAGTCCTCCCCGGTGCTGGGACCGTGGCCATCTCTCCAGGGCCCTGCTGAGCTCTGGCTGCTGGGGCCGCAAAGACTAAAAGCCCAGAGCCAGCCCACTTCCTGTGCAGAGGATAGAGGGGCAAGGCCTGGGGTGGAGAGGCGGGGAGACGAGGCTTATGAGAAAGCCTGAAACTCCTCAAGCACCCAGGGCCAGATAAAGATCTGCCTCCTACGCTGGGGGCGGCACACACACACACACACACACACACACACACACACACACACACAGACACACATTGTCAAATAGGGGCCTAGCTGCACACAGGAGCCAAGGGAACGCAGGCCCTCCCTCTCTCCCCTCCTACATCACCCCCACGCCAACTCACACAGGCTACCCAACACCTCTGACGCCTCCATCCGGTCACACACATACCCACTAATACGTAGGCTTCACACAAGCAGGTCCCTCTAGGTGACCCCAGCGTCTCACCCTCCTCCCAGCCTGCAACACACCATCTTTCCGAGACTCCCATTTCACCCAGCCTTCCAGGAAGCCCCTTACTCCGTTTAGCATTCAGAGATGACTGTTTTTTTTAGTTTTTAATTTTGTGGGCATGTGGTAGGTGTCTATATTCATGAGGCACATGAGCTATTTTGATACAGGCATACAATGTATAATAATCACATCAGGGTAAATGGGGTATCCATCACCTCAAGTATTTATCCTTTCTTTGTGTTAAAATCCAAGTATACTCTTTTAGTTATTTTTAAATGTACAATAAATTATTGTTGACTAAAGTCACCCTGTTATGCTATCAAATACTAGATCTTATTCATTCGATCTAATTCTGTTTTCGTACCCAACAACAATCCCCACCCCTCCAACCCCCACTGCCCTTCCCATCTCCATCACTGCCCTTCCCATTTCCATGAATTCAATTGTTTTAATTTTTAGCTCCCACAAATAAGTGAGAACATGTGAGCTTTGTCTTTTTGTGCCTGGCCTGTTTCACTTAACATAATGACCTCCAGTTTCAAACATGTGGTTGCAAAGACAGGATCTCATTCTTTTTCATGGCTGAATAGTACTCCATTGCATATATGTACCACATTTTCTTTATTCATTCATCTGTTGATGGGCACTTAGGTTGCTTCCAAATCCTGGGTATTGTGAACAGTGCTGCAACAAATGTGGGAATGCAGATGTCTCTTCCATATACTGATTTCCTTTCTTCTGGGTATATACTCAGCAGTGGGATTGCTGGATCATATAGTAGTTCTATTTTTAGTGTTTTGAGGACTCTTCAAACTGTTCTTTATAGTGGTTGTACTAATTTACATTCCCACCAACAGTGTACGAGAGTTCCCTTTTCTCCCCACCCTCACCAGCATTCATTATTGCCTGCCTTTTGGATAAAAGTCATTTTAACTGAGGTGAGATAATATCTCATTGTAGTTTTGACATGCATTTCTCTGATGATCAATGATGTTGAGCACCTTTTCATAAACTTATATGTTTTCTTTTGAGAACTGTCTATTCAGATCATTTGCCCAATTTTTGATGGGATTTCTATAATTTTTTTCCATAAAGATGTTTGAGCTCCTTATCTAGTCCAGTTATTAATCCCTTGTCAGATAGTTTGCAAATATTTTCTCCCATTCTGTGGGTTGTCTCTTCACTTTGCTGATTGCATCCTTTGCTGTGTAGAAGCCTTTTAACTTGATGTGATCTCATCTATCATTTCTGCTTTGGTTGCATGTGCTGGTGGGGTATTGCTCAAGAAATCTTTGCCTAGTCCCATGTCCTAAAGAGTTTCCCCAATGTTCCTTTTAGTAGTTTCATAGTTTGAGGTCTCAGATTTAAGTCTTTAATCCATTTGGATTTGATTTTTGTATATGAAGAGAGATGAGGGTCTAGTTTCATTCTTCTGCATATGGATATCCAGTTTTCCCAGCAACATTTATTGAAAAGACTGGCCTTTCCCCAAAGGTATGTTTTTGGCAATTTTGTTGAAAATAAGTTCACTGTAGGTGTGTGGATTTGTTTCTGGGTTCCCTATTCTGACCAATGGTTCATTGGTCAATGCATCTGTTTTTACGCTAGCGCCACGCTGTTTTGGTTACTGTAGCTCTGTGGTATAATTTGAAGTCAGATAATGTGATTTGTCCAGTTTCACTCTTTTTGCTTAGGATGGCTTTGGCTACTCTGCATCTTTTGTGGTTCCATATAAATTTGACGATTATTTTTTCTACTTCTGTGAAGAATGTCATTAGTATTTTGATAGGGATTACATTGAGTCTGTATATTTCTTTGGGTGGTATGGACATTTTAACAATATTGATTCTTCCAATCCATAAACATAGAATATCTTTTTATTTTTTGTGTCCTCTTCAGTTTCTTGCACCAACGTTTTATAGTTTTCATTATAGAGATCTTTCACTTTTTTGGTTACGTTTATTCCTAGGTATTTTATTTTATTTGTAGCTATTCCAAATGGAGTTATTTTCTTGATTTCTTTTTCAGATTGTTTGCTGTTGGTACATAGAAATACTACTAACTTTTGTATGTTGATTTTGTATTCTGCAGCTTAACTGAATTTGTTTATCAGTTCTCATAGTTTTGTGGTGGCGTTTTTAGGCTTTTTGAAATATAAGATAATATCGTCTACAAACAAGGATAATTTGACTTCTTCCTTTCCAATTTGGATGCCCTTTACTTCTTTCTCTTGTCTGTTTGTTCTAGCTAGCACTTCCCAGAGATGACTATCAGGTCTTTGTGAACAATTTGATGGTCACTTACTGAACATTCTAGAACCTTCCTCTTCCTCTCAAGTCATGGTTCCTAACCCTTCTCCCCCTTTTTTGGCGGGGGAGAAGGGTGGCGTGGGAGCTCAGCTCAGGGCTCTTTTTTTTAAATGATGGAAACTTATGGATTGGTCTTTAGAAAAATGCACATCTATTTACGTGCTACATCACAGCCCCATAGACCCTGTGAAGTTCCATCCTCAGAGCCCAGAAGCAGCAGCTCTGCTTCTTCCCTTTCCTGATTCCCTGTTTCAGAGGGGTTTTATTGCAAGCTGTGGCCTCTTTTTTTTTTTTTTTTTTTTTTTGAGACATAGTCTAGCTCTGTCACCCAGGCTGGAGTGCAGTGGCACAATCTCGGCTCACTGCAACCTCTGCCCACAAAGTTCAAGCGATTCTCCTGCCTCGGCTTCCCGAGTAGATGGGATTACAGGCACGTGCTACCATGCCCGGCTAATTTTTGTATTTTCAGTAGAGACGGGGTTTCCCCATGTTGGCCAGGCTGATCTTGAACTCCTGACCTCAGGTGATCCACCTCCCTCGGCCTCCCAAAGTGCTGGGATTACAGGTGTGAGCCACTGCGCCCAGCCTGCCACCTCTTCTGAGAAGAAGAGAGAGAAGAGCAGAGACGGCAGCTCTGCAAATGTGAGAAAAGTGGAATTCAAGACTCCAAAAAGAGAATCAGGCCCAACTCCCATGTGCAAAGCCCGCTGCTGGAAAAGAAGAAGCGTGGAGCACTGCTGCCCAGGAGGGGCAGGACTGGAGATTGAGGCTGTGACTTAGGCCTCCCTGTGCTTCAGTGTGCAGACCTACCAAATGAAGGGAGAACTGGACAAGAAGGTGTGTATAAAGCATTTAATGTGACCACGCACTGCAGGCTTGCTGTAAGGGCCAGTTCCTTCCACACTGCCCTTCCCTCTCCTCTAGAGTAAGGCTGTCTGGCGGCAGGAGAGGATACTAAACACAACAGCCACAACCATGAGAATAACAGCCAACATTTATTAAGCCTCAAATATTCCCAGAAGCTTTGCAAGAAATTAGGAACGCCGGTTGTCTCAGGGAGGAGAGCCAGGTGAGGAAGGGTTAGGAAGGACGCTTTTCTCTATAGACCCTTTTGTATGGCATGAACATATTTCCTGCCCCCAAATAAATGAATTCAGTTAAAACTTTAAAAGCACACACATACAAAGAAAAGAAAAATGCATCCGCAGCCAAAGCCAGAAGTCACAGACCCAGCTTGCAAGGAGCAGCTGCGTACAGCTATTTCATCCATGAGACAGCATCAGTCTGCCTGGCACATACTGCCCAAGACTCTTCTTCCTCCTCATCCTGCTTTCCTTCTTTTATTTATTCAACAAACATTTACTGAGCACCCCAGATGCCCCAAAGACCAGGTCAGACACAGGAAGCCTGAGGCGCGCAGCCCAGGCCAGCGGGGTAGGACCAAGGGAGGGAGGTAGGCCACTCTCCACCCTCGTGCCCCTGAGATGTGCAGCAGCCAGGAAAGTGGGGAGCAGAATGGGGGATGGTGCAGCCCCCACATACAGAGTCTCCCACCCCAGGAGACAGGGGATGGAGCCGGTTTGTTCTTTTGTCAAGGGTCCTAGCCCAGAACACCTCAGATGGAGAGGCAGGGAGGGGGCTACGCAGAGAATGATTCTCCTTCACATCCTCTATGTAACACCTCATGGCCTGTGGGAGCACGTAGGAGGGAAACCTGGTGGAATGGGTCCCCAGGCCATGGCGTGCACCCTCCTCCCGGCATCAGCTCGGGTCTGCTTCCCAGCCTCCCTTGCAGTGAGCTGGGGCTCCAGAACCAAGTCTGGCTAATGGGATGTGGGAGGAAGTGATTTATTCTACTTCTAGGCCTAAAAAAAATCTCACCTATGATCTCCTGTGTCTCTTAATCCCTCTATCTCTCTTTTTTTTTCTTTTTTTTTTTTTGTTTTTTAGACGGAATCTTGCTCTGTAGCCAGGCTGGAGTGCAGTGGCGCGATCTCGGCTCATTGCAAGCTCCGCCTCCCCGGTTCAAACAATTCTCCTGCCTCAGCTTCCCGAGTAGCTGGGATTACAGGCACACACCACCACACCCAGCTAATTTTTGTATTTTCAGTAGAGATGGGGTTTCACCATGTTGGCCAGGACGGTCTCGATCTCCTGACCTCGTGATCTGCCTGCCTTGGCCTCCCTAAGTGCTGGGATTACAGACGTTAGCCACCACGGCCGGCCATCCCTCTATCTCTTTCTCTCTCTCCCCTCCCCTGCCAGAATCCAGTGAAGTTTTGGGTAGAGGGGCTGGAGTCCCTTGAAGGACAGGCCCTCACCCCTCCTCAGACAATTCACACTGGGCTATAACTTGAATGAAAAATAAACCTCTATTGTTGGGCCTCTGAGACCTGGGGACTGCTGTTTCTGTTTTCTCTGACTCATACAGTCTGTCCCCCAGGTGCTACAGCTGAACATAAAACCAGGTGAGGAGGGGTGAGACAGTACGCCAGCAGAAGCCCAGAGGCATGGGTGGCCAGCAGGGGTGTGCAGAGAGGTGCACCTGCTTTCTTCAGCCCCTGCCCTGCTCAGAGCCGTGTCATCTCCCACCTCAGCAGGCCCATGGTGGCCTCCGCCCTGGTCTCCCTGTTTCTATTAATACTCCTGACTCTCTGGTCTGTTCTCCACTCAGCGGCCAGAGCAACCTTTCCCAAACTCAAATCACGTCATTTCACCCCCCAGCCACTCCCCATCATACACACTCAAACCTTCCCAGTGCATTCACAGTAAAATCCAAACTCTCAGTCTTGACCCACATGTCCTACAGGGACTGCCCCATCTTCATCTCTGACCCTGCCTCCTGTGCTTTCTCACTCTGTCAGGGCTTTGTGCATGCTGAGCCTGCTCTTCCCTTGCCATTTTACAGGCCAGGAAACCAGGCCTCATGAGTCATCCTACCAGAATGTGGCAGAGCCAGGATTAGAACCTAGGTCTGTCCCAGAGGACATCCGATTCTCTCTGAGGCAACCTGAGATGTAATCCAGAAGCTTCTCTGATGGCAGAGCCCTGACAGAGCCCACTCGGGCCTACCCAGACCTGGGTCTCAGGAGTGCTGGGGTTTGGACCCAGCCTCCTCCACGAGCTCCACGCCTTGCTCCTATAACTACTTCTCTTACGTCTTCCACATCCCCACCTGACCCTCTGCGCTGCATCTTCATGGGTCCCACTGGGAACAAACCGCCTCATACCCTCTGTTTCCATGCACCCAGTCCCACAGCCCTCCCACCACTGGACCCAGACCCCTCTTTCACAGGGGCCATGGGACAAGGGCATATTGGGGTCTTCCAGCCCTGATGTCCTTGGGCTGTCTTTTTTGGGGCCAAGCCAGACTGCATCCTCCTCAGTCCTGGTATCTGCCAAACGCCCTACCCGTCCTCCCTCTGCTCACTGGAGTGCTTGGCCCTTGCGCTCAGCCTCCCTCTCCACTCCGCCTCCCAGGAGATGTCAGGGTCCACACTGTAGCCTCCAGCCTCCTGTTCCCTCTGAACTGCTCCATACCAGTCCCACACCCAGGCCTGCACTTGCACCCTGCCATCATTCTGACCTGTGTTAACCAAGACCCCTTGAACTTCCACCTCAGCTCACCCGCGTGCTGCCATCACCGCCTCCACTGTACAACAGTGTCCCAGTTAGGATGAAGTTCAGCTGCGTGTGTCCAAAGAGAACAGAAGAAGAAAACAGTGACCTAAAATAAGAGAGGGCTTTATTTCTCTCTTACATAAAAGAAGTCCAAAGGGAGGCCACCCAGGCTAGGTGGGGTGGCTTTATGATGTCAGGATCCTGAGCTAAATCTGGCTTGCTACTAGGGTCTCTTCAATATCCTTCTCCCATCTCCTCATAGACCAAGAGAGCTATTCAAGCTCCACCCATCACCTCTGCGTTCCTGCAGATGGAAGGGAAAGGAAGGAGAGAGGGAGGGCTTGCCTCTGCCTGTTAAGGACCCTTCCCCAAAGCTGCCGTAGCCACTTCTAATGTACATCCCATTGGCTACGCCTGAGTCACATAGCCAACCAAGCTGCAGAGGAGGCTGGGAGATGTAGCCAGCTATAAGTAGAGGGCACACGGGCAGGGGAGAGCAGGTTTGGGGGTGCCATTCACTGTCTCTGCCACCGCCTGTCCTCTGCCATTGTGAAGACCTCCAGTATCTCCAGGGCCACCTCCCTTCCTGCCCTCCCTGGCTCAGCCAGCTGACACTGTCACCCACCCTCAAGTCCTTGTGTTCCGCCCACCCCTGCTCGGTGCTGTGACCTGTCTTCTGGAAAGTCAGCAGGTAGCCGAGTCCCCAGCTGGAAAAAAAGTCCTGCCCCCACAGTGCCAGGCCTCACCAGTGACCTGGTTTTGAGTCCTGGTCCCTGGTCAGGAGGACTATGGTATACATAATTTGGTGTCTGACCCTCCGCCCAGTCCCCATCAGACTGTGGGGTACCCCTCATGACAAATGAGGATCACAAAGCTGCAGGGGCCCACAGAGGGGCCAGAGCAGAACAAGGAGAAAGAGCAGGCTAGCGGCCGACTTCCTGAGGGCTGTCCTCCGAGCATGCCCCTCTGCTGACACCTGCTCTTCACTGGAGGCGCCCCACCCACCAGTCCCCAAGACAGACTGTGGCCATTCTCCCTGACTCCTTCCCTCCCTCACCCCCTCCTTCCAAGCCATCACCCTTACTTCTGCTTTGCCACAGCAGCCACCTCCACGCCAGCCCCCCAGGCTCCAGACCTGAAGCCCCACGTTCTTCCCTGTTCATCCGGGAGCTGCCTGCTTCATAGCCACACCAGCACCAGCGCCCTGAGCAGCTCCTATCTTGTGCAAACCATGCCATTCCTTACCAGGATCGCGCCAAGGTGACCAGCTGTCCCACTGTGCCTGGGACTGAGGGGGGTTTCCAGAACATAAGATTTACAGTGATATTCCTAGGACAAAGTTGGTCACCATATTCCCACCCTACTTACTCAGACTAATCAGCTCCCCGATTTAAAACCAGTCCTTCCCTGATCTCCAATTCTGGCCAAGGCAGATTCTGGGCACAAGCCAGTTACCATATCTCATGTCAGAGCCTTGCTTATGAGTCTACACCAGGAGCTCTTGGACAACAGGAACAGTGTGGGATTCATCCACACCACTCCAGAACCCAGAAAATTACCTGACATACGGACAGTGTCAATATGAGGGGAAGGAAGGAAAAAAGGAAAAGAGAAAGAATCAAAAGTGCTAAGTCCCTAATACCCTGAAGAGTCCTGAGAATACACATTAAAAACACCAGGATAGCATATTTGAAGTTTCAAAAGCTTTGCCATCAAAGGCAGGTTGAAAAGGCGAGTCACCCTGCTGGCGTGGGCTTCAAGCATCTCCCTGGAAGGCAATCTGACATCTACCAACATCTCTGACACATGACCCAGCAATTCCACACCTAAAACTCATCAACAGAGTGACCCATGTTGAACACGTGTGTACAAAGTAACTCCTGCAGTCACGGGACCCGAGGCCAACAAAATGCGCATCCATAGGGGACAGGTGATGAGCAAATTAGGGAACTTCCATCCAGTGGAATGCCACGTAGCTATGCCAAGATAGGAAGGGGAGGGCTGGGCGCGGTGGCTTATGTCTGTAATCCCAGCACTTTGGCAGGCTGAGGCGGGCGGATCACGAGGTCAGGAGATCGAGACCAGCCTGGCCAACATGGCAAAACCACGTCTCTACCAAAAATAAAAATTAAAAAAAAATTAGCCGGGCGTGGTGGTGGGCACCCCGTAGTCCCAGCTATTCAGGAGGCTGAGGCAGAAGAATCACTTGAACCCGGGAGGCAGAGGTTGCAGTGAGCCAAGATTGCGCAACCGCACTCGAGCCTGGGTGACTGAGCAAGACTCCGTCTAAAAAAAATAGGAAGGGGAGGCTCTCTGGGTCCTGATATGGAGCAATCTCCAGGATGTACGGAGAAGAGACAAAAAACGAAGTTCAGAATACACGTGGGTGCACCACTGCTCAGGTAAACATAAAGGCGGTAAGCCCTGTGTTCGAAGGCATGAGTGTGGCATACGTCTGTGAAGGTGCGTGGGAGCATGTCTGTGAACTAGCATCTACCTGCACTGAGCCACTCAGGCAGGAATCCCTGGACACTGCTAGCAGCCAAGTCCTCCAGCCAGTTTCCTACCTGAAACTGTCCCTGAGTCACCAGGCCCGTGGAACCACCCATCCTCCGCCGTCTTCACTATGCTGAGAGCACCCAGGGAGGAAAGCATTTTGTCCACAGCCACAACGCTGGTTGGCAAAAAGGCGGACTCCTAACCCAGGTCTCCTCACAGCCAGGCCAGTGTCCTGTGATGGGGACAGTCAAGAAAGCCAGTACCCACAACGGTTTCCGCTTTTCCTGTGGGAAACAGGTAGAGTGAAAACATTCTCTTTGCTTTTTCTTATTCTTGGGCAGGTTTCACCAAAATCTGCGATCTTTCTCAGAAGACAATCTAGGTGTTGCTGTGAGGAAAAAGGACGTGTGATGTTTGAAAAGTGTCTGTGAGAAGTTCCTCTCTATCAAGAAGTAACACTTGCTTGCTTTTTTTTTTCTTAGTGTTTTTATTAAAGAATCGGAAAAAATTAAAATGTCCCTCTAAGAAGGTTATGCCTGGCTGTCACCGTTGCCTGCAAAGTCTGCTTGGGGAAAAGCAAAAAATGGGGTCAGAAACATGCTCTCACTCAAGAGTGACGATGCCCTCCGTCAGGCCTGGCACCAGAAGCGGCCACCCTGGGCTCGCTGAGAACAGGGGACCCTGAACTCCTCCGAGCGGGAAAGATGCCCATTTCAGGAAGGGGGAAGGAGCAAGGCAGGCTAGATCTGGGTATCACCTGGCCCTACAACATATATAGAGAGAAACTGTAAAACCTCTGCCTCTTGGTCTCTGCCTCTTGGAGTCCTAGCATTTGTGTTCCATTACCACTTCAAGAATCTAAACAAGGTGAGGCCGAGGGGACAGAGGCAGGTGCATTTTGGCAGATCCTGAAACACGCCACAGTGAGGATGCAGAGGAAGCCCTCCCCAGAACGAAGGGGCTGAACTGAGCCTGCAGAAGGGAAGTTCTGGACTAGGGCAAAGCCCCCAAAAGTGCCTGACCAGTGACAAGGATTCATGGAGAAGGACCCCCCACTTTGGTTGGCACTCAGGGGTGCTGGCGTGGGGGCCACCCGTTGTTATTCCCATGGTCCCTGCATCTGCAGCCCAAAGCCTTCTCCACCTGTGTGCTCACATAGTGCCCAGCCTTGTTCCCAGCCAAGTTTAAAACATGATTCTCTTGATATCATTTCTGCGTATACAGGTTTGTGGGCACATTGCGAGGGCCACTGCATTGTAAAGACCTCCTTGAGTAAATAGCATTTTTGGACAATCAACAGTTAGCTAAAATATATCCTACTGTTGACCTCCCAACATCAAAGACTCTTCACATCCATGGCCAGAGGTAACCAGGCACACCCTTACTGATTAAGAACACAACACAACCCAGTGTCTGACTGGCCAGGACACTGATTGGCTGATGCAGTGACGGCAGCTCCCTGTGGGGAGCAGCGGGATGGCAGCTTATCCGTGGCTAAGGGAGCATCACTGGAGTGTATGAGATTCAGCGGGGCCTCGCTCTTTCTCCAGGCAGGCCCAGTGGGTACAGGAGAAGGTGGGGGCTAACAGAACCAGTACCACGCAGCATGATCACTAAGGAAGCCTAGTCTCTCCTTCTGGGAGGGTTTGGGCAGGGAACTGAGATGCCCATGGGGGCCAGGTAGGAAGTGAATTTACATCAGGTGGACAGGTGGGGACCATGGCACATTGGAGACTCCAGCTACAGGAGAAATGGCAGATGGAGATGTCTGCACCATACTACCAGGAAACTCAATTTGCAAAAGAAGCTAAAATTGGTATTTTTAAAAACGTGAAAGGCCAAGGCGGGTGGATTGCTTGAGCTCAGGAATTCGAGACCAGCCTGGCCAACATGCCGAAACCCTGTCTATGCCAAAAAAAAAAAAAAAAAAATTTAGCCGGGCATGGTGGTGCATGCCTGTAATTCCCAGCTATTCGGGAGGCTAAGGTGGGAGGATCGCTTGAGCCTGGGAAGCAGAGGTTGCAGTGAGATCGTGGTGACAGAGCGAGACTGGGTGACAGAGCGAGACTCAGTCTCAAAAAAACAAACAAAAGACTGGATGCGGTGGCTCACACCTGTAATCCCAGCATTTTGGGAGGCCAAGGCAGGTGGATCACCTGAGGTCACCAGTTTGAGACCAGCCTGACCAACGTGGTGAAACCCCATCTCTACTAAAAATACAAAATTAGCTGGGCATGGTGGCACATGCCTTTAGTCCCAGCTACTTGGGAGGCTGAGGCAGGAGAACTGCTTGAACCCCGGGAGGTGGAGGTTGCAGTGAGCCAAGATCGTGCCACTGCACTCCAGCCTGGGCCACAGGCAAGACTCCATCTCAAAGAAACCAAAACAAAAAAACGTGAAAACCTCCCATTTAAAATACTCGCCATTAATTCTAACTTAAACATGCAACAAAACTCCACCACCACAGCCGGCCCATATGTGAGGAAGCGCCACTTTCAGAGGGAGGAGTGCAGCTGAGGGTGGCATTGACAAAGGGACCCTCTGCCAGCCCTGTTTCTTCTCAGGTGCTGTCCTGGATATTTAGTTTACATCTGGGTGCGCTGCATCTTTGCAAATCTTTCTTGTGTTGGAGTTATCTCCTTTTTTAGGAGTCTCCTACCCTAACCAGTAAGCTGAAACTGCTTTTCCAGCCTCCCTTGCAGCTGGGACATAGGCATGTGACCAGGCTGCCCAATCAGAAGCCTCCATTCCAGACCTCAGGCTGGGAAAGTGAGCATGTGACCAGGTTCCTTCAATCAGAAGCCTCAGCTCCAGACCTCAGGCGGGGAGAGCATGTGACCAGGTTCCCCCAATCAGAAGCCTCAGTTCCAGACCACAGGCTGGGAAAGTGAGCATGTGACCAGGCTCCCCCAATCAGAAGCCAGCTCCAGACTGCTGACTGGGAGGGCATGTGACCAGGTTCCCCCAGTCAGAAGCCTGGGTTCCAGACCACAGGCTGGGAATATGATCATGTGACCAGGCTCACCCAATCAGAAGCCTCAGCTCCAGACCTCAGTCCTGAAGTGTGTGCGTGTGATTAGGCTTCCCCAATCAGAAGCCTCAACTCCAAGACCTGGAGGCTGGCGAGGGTGGTGTCGGAACATCGTGTCCAGGATGCAGCAATTCTCCAAGCCTCTCCAAGCTTCTCCAAGCTTCTCCAAGCCTGATTTGCGGGTCCTGCCAGAGATTCCTGAGCTTCAGAATATCCTGAATGATTCCTTTTCTAATGACAGTAGCCAGTAGAGTTTTTGCAACTGAAGTTCCTGGCTGACACAGGTGCCTTAGCCAAGTACAGGGGCATGCATATATTTAGTACAGATCTCAGATTTGAAATAGTCTTTAATTACAGCAATGACTGACCACGTTGGGTGATGGCGATC
The DNA here is from genome assembly GCF_000001405.40 of Homo sapiens. NCBI lineage: Eukaryota > Metazoa > Chordata > Mammalia > Primates > Hominidae > Homo > Homo sapiens. The sequence goes on from NC_000022.11 coordinate 37,162,187, forward strand.
GAGTGAGAGGGCAGCGAGGGGAAGAGTGCCCGCCCCCACGGTTTTCTGTCTGCGGGGCCTTGGAGTAGGACCAGTGTTGTACCACAGGCCCTGGTGCCAGTGTGAGCATTGGATGCTCAAGGACAGTACGGGAGGTCTTTGATAAAAACCTCCTCTGCCTAATGTACTGGTGGGGTAGGTGACCCAAACATGGGGGAGAGCTGACCCTGAGCTCACAGCCCACCGACTTGCTGGAAGGCTACCTAAATGCGCACTTGGAAGGCCTGGTGAGGCCCACGCACACACCAGTTGGCTGGCTGACCTTGAAGCTGTCTTGCTAACTGGTTTATACTTCGGGTGACTGGTGAATAAAGAGGCTGCCAGAGCTTTCAGAACCAGCAGGGGCCCCCATGTTTGGTGAGTGGCTGGTTTCACTTTCAAAGTGAGTTAGAGACAGTCCCACTGTGAAGCCTCTACCACACGGAGTCACAAACCCATTCTGGTTAGTCTGAATCAGGTCAGGCACAGGCTCTGTTTACCAAATCCCTGACCCCCACCCCACCCCTCTACCCCAGATCAGAGATCCTACCACATGCCAGGGGTACTGGGGAAGAGGCAGGGGATTGTGAGGGCCAAAGGCTACCTGTCTGATTGACCGCATCCTACCCCTGCCTGCCTAGTTCTATACACCTCCTCACACTCTGCCCAGCAGCCAAACCACCAACACCCACACCCCAGCACCAGACCATGAGATGAGAACACTCATTTCTTCCCTTCGGTTCCACTTCATTTCAGTCCCACCCCTGTCCCCAGGCCAGAGGCTTCTCCCCAGGGGCATGAGCACTGGACTGAGGGTTTGGAGACCTAAGTTTGAGCCCCAGCAGTGCCTCCAACTCACTAGGGTCGCTCCCTGCAGTCATCACTGCTCTGGAGCTACAGACCGCAGGAACAGGCTGTAGCTAACCTGAGCCAAACAGAACTAGTTAGAGGATCTGGAGTGGTTCTCAGGTTCTGGAGGGAGCTGAAGACCCAGACCTCAGGGACGGGCAGACTCCAGACCAGCCGCACCTGCAGCTGAGTGTGGTCCAGCTGCAGAGACCCCTTTGAGGCACCAACCTCCAGCTGTTTGCTGGCTTCATTCATTAGAATTCAAAGAGTCTCATTGGCTAAGATCACGTCAAATGCCCATCCTCCAGCTGGAAAGGGTGGGGTACTTTGATTGAGAGTTCAACCAAGACTTCACCAAATGCAGGAAGGTAGATACCCCAAAGAGAAATGGGGGGGCCGCTTCTAGAAGCAGGAGGCCTGATGCCTACTGAGCAAGCAGGAACCAAAGATGCCCCGCAAGGACTGGCTTGGGTTGGATGATCCCAGAAGCTCTTCCAGGAAAGTCATCCTCTGATTGGAGGAATCCAAACTGGGCACCTTGCCTCCCTCAAGGGAGGAGGGACTCTTCTCAGCCCTTGGGAGGGGCTCCTGGCATGAGGATGCCTTATACCCCCGCCCTGAGGCCCCCCATTCGGGGGAAAGCCAGGAAGGGTCGGGGCTGCTACCTGAGTGGAGCAGAGGGATGCTCGTCTCCACCACCCACATGGGCTTGAGCCTGTGACCTTGATTTCATGGGCCTCCGGGAACTCATGAGCAAACCTGAAAGCAGCAGGGGACGAAGGGCCCCAGGCTTGTCACCCTCTTACTGGGCCAGGCTGGAGGAAACTGAGACCAGCTCATTCCTCAGTGCGTGGAGCTGCTCTGTGAGAAACGGCCCCAAAGTGGAGCTCAGGTGGCAGCCAGCAGCACAGGCCGAGAGTGCCATGGCTGCTGCTCATGCACGAAGGTGCTTTGCTGTTCCCACACCATTTCTGTGGGTTGCACATGGGACCTCTGGAAACAGCCCAGAGGCCATCACCTGTATCACACGTGAGGGTGCGTGAGGAGAGGCGGCCTGCAGAGCAGAGCGGAAAGCAACAGTCAGCCATGTAGCCTGTCAACACAGGGTTCTCCCTCTGCGCTCCCTGCCCCTCAGCCCCACTACTTCACCCCCAACCTCCTCCACCTCTCCAAAAGTACCCGAGAACCCCAGCCTCACTCCTCCCTAAGCCAGGCGTCAGGGCCCAGAAGAGACCTGGCCAGTGCACAAGGGGTCAGAGGAGGGGAGCAGAGTGAGGAGGGGGCACGGGGGTGCTTTGATCGGGAGGATGTGGTCAGCGGCTTCAGGCCTGTGGTTTGAGCCCAGAGGTGCTGCTGACACTCTGGCTGAAGTCATCTGTGCCGTTCCTGCATGAAGCAGTGTGGCAGGAGTGAGGGGTGAGGGGCCGGGTGGTGGGGGTGGTGGGCAGGGGGGATGGTGGAAGCTGCAAGATGTGTGGTTTAAGTTGTGAAGCTCACACCAAGCCTGGACATTCAGGTGAGTGGGCCGGGCAAGCCACCTCTCCCCACTGGGCCTTCTTCCTGTTTCTCTCTCGCTTGAAATCACCTCCTGTCTGTCCCTTCTCAGGCCCAGAATGCAGACCACCAAGGAGGCTCTGAACAGCCCACCTCAGAGACACCAGAGGCTCCAGCATCACCGAGGCTCCAGAGAGCAGAGGGCCACCAGGAATGCAGAGGGCAGAATGCTACAGAGCAGAAAGTTCTAGAAGCATAGCCTTCCCAGGGAGGTACTAGGTAACTCCTCTAGCCCTTACTACGCACCAGGCCCTATTCTAAGTACACATGTTGATTCCCGACTATGCTGAAGGCAGTTTCAGGTTCAAGAGCATCAGCATTCCCTGAGAGCTGGTCAGAAATGCAGATGCTCAGGCCCCAGCCCAGCCCTCCCGAGCCAGAATCTGTATTTTCACCACGTCCCCAAGCAACTCGAGTGTGCACAGAAGTTTGAGAGGCCGCATGTTACCTCAGTGAATCCTGACAACAGCACTTGCAGACTAGGACTCTTATCCTATTTTGCAGATGAAAAAACTGAGGCACGGGGAGGTTAAATAACTCGCCCAGGGCCGCACACAGGTAGGTGATAAGTGTCAGAGATGGGATGTGGGCCTGGGCCATCTGGCTCCTAAGCACATGCTCCTAACTACCAGGCTGCCGCCACCTTTGGAAGAAGAGAGCCATGAGAATTTGAGCTATGGCTGGCCGCATCTGTGCCTGCTCTGGCCGTGTGCCTCTGGCCTTCCAGAACCCACTCTGTCCTTCCTAATGTTTCTCTGACCGTGGCCTCTCCAGGGAGAGTCTGAATCATGATTTTCCCAGGCATGGAAGGTAGGAACACCTGCCAGTCAGCATGGAGCGTTTGTCAAGCGTCTGTATTATCCTGGCTCAGGGCTGGGAGTTATAGCAGCCACAAAAGATGCCCAAGACTCCACCCAGCCCTCAAGGAGCCCAGAGTTTAGCTGCAGGGACAGGAAATAGGCATGGGAACGAATGCAATATAATCACAGCTAAAGTTTGTATGAGATGTGCAGATGCTCCTGGGCAGCTGCCTCTTCAGGGCAGGCTTCATGGAGAAGAGGGCTTTTTTTAAAAATTTAATTTAATTTAATTTAATTTAATTTTATTATTGTTTGTGGGGTTGGGGGAGGAGGGGAGAAGAGGGCTTTGAGCCAGGCCTACCCAGGGCAAGTGCCAGAAGGACAGAGGCGGGGAGGACACAGGTGCAGACCGGCCTAAAGCAGACACTTGGAGCTGAAAACATCCTGAATCCAACCGTCCACAACTCCCCTCTACAGCATCTCCTCAAGAGGGCCAGACTCCCCTGAATTCTCCCTACGGCAAGGAAGTCATTCCTCGCCAGGGGAGCGAGATCATGGCCTGTCTGGTGTGCACGTGTGTGTGTCTTTGCCACAGGTGTGTTCTTTCCAGAACTCCTGTGAACAGGTGGGCCTCCTTTGTGCAAACCTGAGCCATGCACATCCAGCTCAGCTGATAGCTGGGCCAGGAGAGGTGACCTCACCGCCCATGCTCAAGGTCTCTCTGTTGCACTGGACAGGGCCCCTCCAGCCTTAGGCCCTTGAAGTCCTGGCTCCTTGGAAATGCCCCTGCTACTGGGGGGACCCTCAACTGCACCAAAGGACCGCAATGGAAAGGGGGCACTCAGCGCCAGAGCCTCCCCGCCCCCCCACCTCCTGCCGAGAGGAAGCCCAAAACTGGCACATCCACACACACAGCCACACGCCCCCTTTGAAGGCACTGCACCGCTGCGTGTGTTGTACACGGAGCCTGCGCTTCCTGGGCCAGAAGTGAAGCTAAGATGCACTCCACGCATTCAACCGTTGAACCCTCATTGCAGCCACCAGAGTTCTGTGCCACCCCTGCTCCGTTCCCGCGGTGGAGGGAGGACGCCTAGGCCTTGGGAGGGATCGGGAGCGCGTAGAGTGACACCCTGGGCTCCACATCCACGACACCTTCTCCCCCATCTGGACTGCCCAACTACTTCATGCCTACCTCGGGACTTTGCATGCAAAAGGCGCTCAATCATCCCTTCAAGAATAATTGAGTTAGAAAACAGCAGGGCACAATGACAGGTGGGCCCAGAAGTTGCCACCAGAGGGCAGTGCGCGCACCTCCCCAGCCTCCTCGAGACTTGTGCTGCAGGAGGGAGGTGAAGTCGCGGCCAGGAGCGTGACCACGCTGGACCGTGTCTGCTGCCTCCCCGGGAGTCGCAAGTGCCCACAGGACAAGCAGGGGAAGCAAACTGGGCCCCTGGCTTCTGGGAAGACAGCATGAGGGCAGACCAAGGAAAGGCAGCCGAGACCAGCAGACCTGCAAGGGATCTCGGAGGCTCTCAGGCCCAGCTGCTTGCTGAATAGGTAATGATGCATCTGGGCCCAGAGAGAGGCAGCTCTCAGCCTTAGGTCACACAGCAGGGCAGGAGTGTGAACTCTGGCCTCCAGCCTCCGAGGTCCCCTCATCCCACCTAACCCCCAGACTCAGAGAAGGACACTCCACCCAAGCAATTTCTCACCTTCCCCTTAATTGGTACAGATCAGAAACGGGAGCACCTCCTTCTCCTGGCCCCCACGTTTAGGGTTCCCAGGACAGCCTCCGACCCACCCTCTGCCCCTCCTGTATCCCTTTCCTCGGCCCTGGGTGACAGCACCCCTGCCCAGACCAGCTCTGACTGCCTCCAAGTGCCAAGCGCTCACAGTCCTCTACCCCCAGCCCCAGCCGGCACCCTCAGTCTCGTCCCACCATCTCTCTGCCTCCTGAGTCCCTCCCTGAGTCCCATGCCCTCTGCCCCAGCGACTGCCCTTGTAAAGTGAAAATCCGACCCCACCCAACATTTCCTGCTGCACTTATGCAGTATCCAGGCCTCCTCGCCATGGAAAGCCCAGGCCTGCGGCCTCTCTGGCTTCTTCTCTCCCTTGCCCCACTGCCCCTGGCTGTCTGGCAGTTCCTGGAAGTCTCCAAGCTCTTCCCTGCCTCGAGCCCCTGCCCACGTTCTCTCTGCCCCAGGCCTCAGCCTGCGGTCACTTTCTCAGGGCAGCTTTCCCAGCACCCCGTGCATCTAAAGTGGATGCTGCCCTGCCCATCACTGGATCAGGTGCTCATATTCCTAATTGACTGGGCATAGGTGGGAGGATTTGCCTGGTGTCTGTCTTCCTGGCTGGACTGCGGTGCCTCAAGGCCACAGGTGAAGTGCATGGAGTCCCACAGCTTCTCTGAGCCTAAAGCTTTGTGTGACAAATGCATTCAAACTGCATTTATTGAAAGATGGGAAGCAAGGGAGGAAGGGAAGGGGTGCGGGAGGGAGGGAGGACAATCTTGGTGTTGGGCTGAGGTGGCGTCTGTCCCCTTTGCATGAGTTCAGTAAGGATTTACTGAGCACCTGCTGGCAGCAGCATGCTGGGCACTGTGGGAATGACAAGGATGTGTGGGATTTGAACTCTAACTCAGAGTACCTTCTCTTGGTATGGAGGTAGGACAAGTATGCAAATGATTATAACTAAGGAAATCGTGTCAATGTGGTGACCCTTGGCCTGAACTTTCAGAACAGTCCTGGTATCACGTGAGAAGAGTAAATACATGTGATTTGATTCTAAACTGGCTAAGACGTTATTAAAGAAAGTAACAAGACAGAAAAAATACTTTTTCAGGCTGTCTGTGCAGTTTTGTCTTTAGAAAATGTGGTCATAATGAGTATGAGAGGCATAGAGCGTGCCCAGTTTGAAACGCCTGCAAATGACAAAACACAAAAACACAAACCCAAAAATAGAACGTGGCTTGGCTGGAGCCATAGGGGAGGCTCCAGAGGATGTGGCATCGGTGCTGTGGGCAGTGGGTCATTGTGCAAAGGCAGTGAGGGCTGGGTCCCCATCCCACCTTGGCCACTTCCTAGCTGTGTGATCTTGGATAAGTTCCTTTACCTCTCTGAGCCTGTTTCTGCATCTGAAACATGCGACTACTCCCCACCTCTTAGGTTCATGGGGATGGCATGAGATTGTGCACACAGAGAAGCCATCACCCACAGTTCCTGGCATGCAGGAGGCACCTGAGGAAGGCTGGGTTCTTCCTCTTCTCTGGGAGGATGGGGATGAGTGTTCCATAGGCCGGAATGGGTCGAGAGAAAGGGCCCAAGACAGAGGGAGCTGCAAGAGCCAAGGCACAGACTAGGTGGCTGAAGGCAGTTGGGGAACAACAATTATCACCAGAGCCTAATATTTCCCCAGCTCCATCTCCTTCCCTCCACGCCCAGTGCCAGAGGGGCACTGCTTATATAGGGGTTCTGCTTACAGAGGGGTTCTTGCTTACAGAGGGGTTCTGTTTACAGAGGGATGCTGTTTACAGAGGGGTTATTGCTTACAGAGGGGTTCTCGCTTACAGAGGGGTCCTTGTTTACAGAGGGATGCTGTTTACAGAGGGGTTCTTGTTTACAGAGGAGTTCTGTTTACAGAAGGGTTCTTGTTTTCAGAGGGGTTCTTGCTTACAGAGGGGTTCTGTTTACAGAAGGATTCTTGTTTTCAGAGGGGTTCTTGCTTACAGATGGATTCTGTTTACAGAGGGGTTCTTGCTTACAGAGAGGGGTTCTTACTTACAGAGGGGTTCTGTTTACAGAGGGGTTCCTGTTTTCAGAGGGGTTCTTGCTTACAGAGGGGTTCTGTTTACAGAGGGGTTCTTGCTTACAGATGGATTCTGTTTACAGAGGGGTTCTTGTTTACACGTTTACAGAGGGGTTCTTGTTTACAGAGGGGTTCTTGCTTACACAGGGGTTCTGTTTACAGAGGGATTCTGTTTACAGAGGGTTCTTGCTTACACAGGGGTTCTGTTTACAGAGGGGTTCATATTTGTTAGCGGGACGCTGCCATGTCATCCTTCACTCTGCATCCAGAGCATCCTTGCACACAACTCTTCAGGGGCTCCCCACTGCCCTCAAGACCCTATCCAAGCATCCTGAGTCTGGCTTCAAGGCTGTCCCTAACTGGGCCCCCTCTTGAAGATCCCCCTTTGCATCCAATCCTCTGGCCACACAGAACGCAGAATCGCTTGCATGCCTCCCCCTCCTCCCAGGGTTTGCCCCCTCCCTGCCCTGCATGTGGCATCCTTCCTTTGCCTTCTTATCCCGCGGACTCATCATCCTTCAGGCCCCGGGTTCACATCCTCCGTGAAGCCTCCCAGGCCTTTACCCTTGCTTTCTGATGGGGTTAGGTACCTGCCAGAGGCCTTCCTTCTCTCCCCAACTAAAGTGGGTGCTCCCCAAGGGCAGGAACTGAATCCCATTCATTCTGCATTTCTTTATGCTGCCTGGTATGTGCCTGGAGCATAGGAGGTGCTTAGTCATTGTGATGTGGATAGAAGGGTGGTTAATGGGTGAATGGAAAATGGACTGATGGATGAACAGAAGAAGGATGAATGGGGGGATCATGGAGGGAATGATGGAGGGAGAGAAGGAATGATGGGGGAGAAGGAAGGAAGGATGGGGGAGAAGGAAGGAAGAATGGATGGATGGATGGATGGATGGATGGATGGATGGATGGATGAAGGGATGAACAGACAGACGGATGGACAGACAGTGGATGTGGATGGACAGAATAATAAGACTCTTTCAGGAAGGCCAGAACACAGCAGAAAGGCCCTGAAGAAAACCAAAGCAGCTGCAGGAAGTTTGGTGTTTGCCAAGGTTGGGGGTGAAATGAGCTACCTGTTTTGCAGAAGAGATGGGGTGTGTTTTAGCAGCTGACATCACAGAAGGTGCAGGTCCCAAGACCTAACAGGAGAGCAGCTGAGAAGAGCAACAGCTCCTCATAGACAGGGATGGACAAGCTAGGCCAGCAGCGGGGGCAGACTCTGCACTGTCCCCGCTGCCCCCAGCCGTGGAGAGATGCGTGTCTGCCACAGGGGAAGCAGCGCCACCCAGGGGCTGGGGTAATGACAGGCGTGGCCTCTTGGGGGTGGACAGTCTAGAACCCAAGCCTCCATCCCTCTCTGTGGAGGCATCATGGGAGTCGACTTGCCCCTTCTGGCCACCTCTCAGTCCCAAGGGTGCCACATTTGGGGTTCTCCACCACGCAGTCACTGCTTGACGTGGCTCATGGCCTCCCAGCCTCACTGCACGGGCCACACACACTTCCCTCAGTTCCTTTCCTCATTGTCTCCGCAAACACACAGATTCCTGCTGCCTTTAAGACTTTACTGCTGATCTCCAAAGAGATGAAGCAATCTCAAAGATAAACATGAAGCAAATCCAAAGAAATCCTGCAAAATTCTGGGAGCGCCTTTCTGTGGTTGGAAGCTGGGCACGTGGTGGGATGATCCTGCCAGCCTGTGGAACTTCCGATATTATGGATGAGGGTGGATTTTACTACCTCCCAAATTCTAGGACTCACGCTCTTTTTTTTGGGTGGGGAGGGGGACAGAGGCTCGCTCTGTTGCCCAGGCTGGAGTGCAGTGGCACAATCTCAGCTCCCTGCAACCTCTGCCTCCCGGGTTCAAGCAATTCTCCTGTCTCAGCCTCCCAAGTAGCTGGGACTACAGGCGCGGCCACCATGCCTGGCTAATTTTTGTGTTTTTAGTAAAGACAGGGTTTCACCATGCTGGCCAGGCTGGTCTCAAACTCCTGACCGCAGGTGATCCACCCACCTCGGCCTCTCAAAGTGCTGGGATTACAGTTGTGAGTCGTCATGCTTGGCCTCACGCTCTTTCATTCAAATAATATTTATTGAGGAGCCCCTATGTGCCAAACCCTTTTTCTAGAGGCTTAGGACACAACAGTGAACAAAACAAAGACGCCTGCCCTTGTGACGCTTACAGTCTAGTGGGGAGTGGGGTGAGAAACAGACAATAAACATAAGGACTAAGTAAGTTTCATAGGAGGTTAAAAGATGAAAAACGCTATCAGAAAAGAAAAAATGGGAGACAGAGAATCAGGAGCACAATTTTAAACAAGGCAGTCAGGGTAGATGGACCTCACCAGAAGGCGATGGGAAAATCTGAAGGAAGGAGGGAGCCAGGCAGAACTGGAGGAAGGATGAAAACTATGGAATGCTTCCTGAATATGCGAGGCAATTTATAACTCCCTGAAATGTGCCACATGATTCCCAATGCATGCCTTTGCCTACGCTAGACTGCAAGCTCCACGTGAGAAGAGACTGCTTGACTTGTTCTCAGAAAGTATTTATGGGATTTATAGATGCAGTTGTACAGAATAGAAAGCTGCTCACAATCCTCTTCTTCACCTTTCCTCCTAGAAAACTCCTACACAGCCTTCAAGACCCAAACACATATGGGCAGAGTTGGTTGCTCCTCCTTTGAGCTCGCTACTCTTGCACCTTATATAAACCTCTTTTATAGCCCCAATACACTGTGTTTCCCTCATTTTACTGCGGGTCAGAGCTTTCCCCTGGGTTGAGAACCCGCAAGGGGATCTGACCTGTCTGAGCTATTTATGGATCCCCAGAGCTCCTGGGACAGATGCTCGGCTGACGTTGTCAGGATTGAAATGACCTGTTACTGCTTTAATGCTCCCTCTCAAGTAGGTGGTTTGCATTTCTGGGACCTTTGGCACCTCAGTTGAGGCTCTCTGGTTGTGAGCAAGAAAACTCAACTATTAACTAAAGGTAAAGTAAAAAAAAAAAAAAAAAAAGTGATGTTGGGGATGGAGGCAAGGGGCTAGAGCCCCAACCAAACCTGCAGGAAGGAAAAGCCAGGGTAGCCCCAGCTCCTTGGCGCCCGCTGTGCTTGGGATCCCTGGCTGCACCTCCTAATGCACTCGGCTCCATCAGCTCCTGGCTGCGGTCCTGCTTCCCAAATCTGCAGAGCAGGACTCAAGCTGGCCCTGCTAGGGTTGGGGCCTCCCTTGGAGCCGTCAACCATCCAATAGGGCCCAGAATGAGGTAGAGAGATGAGCCCAAGGGTGGGGTAAGGGGCTGAGGTTTTGGGGGTGGGCAGTGGCGAGGGGTCCCTGGAGAAGAGGGGAACTTGTGAGCCTGGGGCCACACCCAAAGTGCCTCCTTCACTGGGCCCAGCCCCCACCCAAGCCGCATTTCTAATGAAGGCTTTGTTTTGTAAGAATTTTTAAATGCTTTAACTAGAAATTGGCAAACTGCAACATCTGCCAATTTCTAGCAGTATATATCCTGCCACCATGACCCATTTCAAGCTAGCATCGTGATGTCTCTGAACCTGCGATCGGGAAGACATGCATGCAGTCGGCTCTGGTGCAAGCTGGCTCCAGCCACCATTGGCTGTGGGGCTGAGGGCACAAGCCTCCTCATAGACTCCTGTAAGGAGCCCTGCCCTGTCTTGAGAACCACCGAAAGAGCTAGAGAGTGTTTCCCATCCTCCAGCCATCCTCTGAGAAGTCATAGCTCAGGTCCTGGATGAGCCTCCCCTCTTTCCCAGGAACCATCCCTTCCTTCTGGTGTGGCCCACTGGACAAGATCGAATATCCCAGGTCCTGCAAAACCTGGCTCCTTCCGGCCTCTGGGTCTTTCTTTCAGTTCCTGGGAGGGGCTGAGCAGCCTCCTACCTCCTGGCCTTGACCCATATTGGCCCCTCCACCAGCTGTGCTATGTCTCTCATCTTTGGGTCTCAGCTGAACCACCTCTTCCTCAGAGAGGCCTTCCCTGACCACTTCTCCCTCCCAAATTTGCTTCTCCCTTGCCAGCACTTACCCCACGCTGAAGCCCTGCTGTGACTGTGTAATGTCTCTCTCCCCTATTAGACTGGAAGCCGCATGAGGGCAGGGACCATGTGGGGTTTTGGCTCACCACACTGTCCCCTGTGCTTAGCACAGGGCCAAGCCTATAGAATAGGAATCAATCCATAATTATTGATTGGGTAAACAAATGACACATGAAGGAAGGAAATTAATCAGTTTTTCTGTACTTCACAGTTTCTTCTTCTGTAAAATAAATATAAGAAAGTGTCTACCTTAAAATAATTTTTAACATTTATAGAGCACCTCCTACGTACCAGTATTTTACATATACTTACTCCTTTAATCCTCACAACAGCCCAGATAGTGTTAATATCATCCCCATTTTACAGGTGACAAAACTGAGGCACAGAGAGTTTCAGTGACCTCCCCTCATTTACTCAGATTTGAACCCAGGCAGTGCCTCCAGCAGCCTCAGCATTAACCACACACTAAACTGCCAGGGGGGGTTGGGGAGGGGTCCTGGAGGTGGTAGCTTTGGCGCTGCTGTAGCCCTGCTGCCCCAAGAGCTTGAAGCCTCGTGAGCAGAGCCAACTATTGCTAAACACTATAACCAGGGGACGCTCAGGGATCCAGCTGCCTCTCACATCTGGGAAGATTTCCTGGAACCAAGACACCCTGGCTGAGTCAGGCACCCGCATCTGACAATATGGCCAGAGAGTTTTTACGAAATGTGAACCAACTGGACTCTCAACAGCTTCTCCCCACCCCACCCCAACCTGTGAGTGGGACTCTGATCTTGCCTGGGGCTCCAGCCCAGCCCCTCAGGGTTCAGGGGTAAATCTCACTTCCCCGAGGTTGGGTTAGGTATGGTTATGTGACCAGCTGTGGCCAATGAGAAGCGAGAAGAGGCTTTTGGACAGAAGAATCTCTGATTCTCTTTCACCCACCCTTGCCACATCCATGAAACGGAAGGGTTCGTCGCTGGGTTTTGAGACTTTTTTCCATGAAGCTGAAGGCCAAGGGAGCTGAAAGCCTTGCCACTGAATGCTGAAACAACCTTCACTGGCTACTTTAGAGATAACATTCATAGGTCACCATGGTAATGGTGGCTTCGGTTGTTTTTCAGGAATTGGGCCAGCTGAAACCAGTTGAGACCCTTCAGCTGGGGAACCGTATATGTGCCCAAGAGATGGCCATTTGATATTGGAGGACCAAAAGCACCACGCTCAGATCAGGCCAATGCATCTGTTTTCTGTATGTGTCCTATGAAATGCCATGAACCCCAACTATGCTTGTACAGAACAAACCGGTTACGTCATTCTTCCCCACTGCCAATCACCTGTCCCCACACCTTAGATCACCCCACTTCTCTAACCCATTCATATCCCTAAACCTTGTCTTTGGGGAGGCAGATTTGAACGCTGTTCTCCCACCTCCTTGCTTGGCAGGCTTGTGAATCAATCTTTTCTCTTTTGCAAATCCCAAGTCACAGCGATTGGCTGCACACTGGCAGAACAGATTGGGACCTGGCGGGTGATACCCAGATATGACACCTGGACCCAGAACAGAAATCTCATGGCCACCATCTTGAGACTGCCATCCTGTGGCCCTGAGGGAAGCTGGCTGTATTAGTTCGTTCTCACACTGCTATGAAGAACTGCCTGAGGCTGGATAATTTAGAAAGGAAAGAGGTTTAATTGACTCACGGTTCCACATGGCTGGGGAGGCCTCAGGAAACTTACAATCGTGGTGGAAGGCGAAGGGGAAGCAAGGCACCTTCACATGCTGGCAGGAGAGCGAAGTGCAGAGTGAAGGGGGAAGGGTCCCTTATACAACCATCAAAACTCGTGAGAACTCACTCACTATCACGAGAAAAGCATGAGGGTAACCGCCTTCATGATCTAATCGCCTCTCACCAGGTGCCTTCCCCAACATGTGGGGATTGCAATTTGGATTACAATTCAAGATGAGATTTGGGTGGGGACACAGAGCCAGATCATACATCATTGGCCTAAGGGCAAATCTGTTGTGCTGAGAATGGAGATATGGGGCAGACCCAGGTCCTTAGCGAGCTGCTGAGCTGCTCAGCTGCTGAATTGACGGACCCTGAGCCGCCCTGCCTGGGACTTAGGGTTACTTTTCTCTCTTGCTGCTTTGGGTTGAATATGTGTACCTTGCACCCAAAAGCATCTTAACAAATACAGAAACTACGAGGCAAAAAGCAGAGGGGGAAAGGGAGACTTCTGCACGTTCTTAGGTTTCAGAACAAGGAGAGCCCCACCAGAAGCTTTGGGAGAGGTTGCCTTGAGCCCTCTCCCGACACTCAGAGGAGCTCAGATGAGCTCAAGGAGCGTCATCCCTGGGTGACGGGGTGGGGAGGTGCAGAGGGGAAACAAGAGATGAGTTAGGATTGGGATTCCTGGCCAAAGTGATCCTGTCTCCTCCTTCCCAGGCAGACCCCCAACAGGTTTGGGACATCCGAGCTTCAGAGGAGCCATTCTTCTCTTCCTGGGCAAAACCCTAGAAAGGCAGCTGAGACCCCAGGGAAGAAATGGCCCCAGGGTGTATCCGGGCAGATAGGGCTGGGTGAGACAGCCCTCAGAGAGGCAAGGAACTTGTGTACAGGAAGCACCCAGGTGTCCCAAGAGGGATGAGGACCCGGGAGGCGCTGTGGGAGTGAGCATGAATCAGGAGGTATGGGAGTGGGACCCGGAGCCCAGAGCAGATGGGACATTGCCAAACTCGCAGAGGAAACGTGGACATGGAGTGCCCCAGCTCCTCCCTGCTGGCAGGGAGGGGCACTTAGATGCAGCCGCAGGGAAATATCGGGGGGCGGGGAGGAATCCCAGCTGCCAAAATCACATTTCTTTGACTTCAGCCCATGGAAATGCCTAATGGGAGTGAAATTTACTCAGAGAACTAAAGCACGGCCTGTTTTGTATACATCTGCATTTGTGGCATCCATTCCTTCCCACCAGAAGCGAAGAGCAGCCAGCCACCTGCAGGAACCGCCCCACCCTCCCACTCTACTGCTGACCTGCAGAGGGTCACCTCTTTCCTCCACGCGCCTACAGCCAGCCCTCTCCAATGACTCCTTCCTCCCGTGAAGCAACCCTACTTCTGCCGCCAATGCCACCACCTCCAGGCTGCAACTCCACAGCCCACCTGACTGTATGCTACGACCCCAGCCCCCAGGTGCTGGTCACCACCGCCTCCTGTCCTCCTGGGTCTGAAGGCCAGCTGCTCCAAAGCCACGCCAGCTTAGCCCCACGCACCCTTGACTCGTGTCCTGGAAATCCCTCCTTCCTCTCTGGCTCCTGCGGCCACCCGCTGGCCTCACCCATAATGTTCTTGACATCTGTTTCTGGTCATGTTAAGTTTCTGCCTGTGTTTCTCCTTTCCTCCAGACGCACACGTGGCAGTATGTGGCTACTGTGACGGGCCTGCCAAGTGGAGGAGGAGGCGGGGAGAGGAGAGGGGGGCTGCAGGGCCTCCTCCCTGGCCAGAGACTGTTGCTTCTCACTTCGCCCCGCACCTTTCCCACGATGCTCAGAGAGGTCACTCATCGAACCCATGCCATTTGAGCACGGCTGTGTGCCAGACACTGCTAATACCGAGATACATCGTCACGTGGAGTCCTCTATCGGAACAAAGCCAAGACTCACAGAGAGGAAGTGACAAGCCCCGGTCATACTATAGGAAAAATAATGTTGTGCGCCCTGAACCAGGAGCTGGTCTAAGGAAAGGGTGTGCTGGGGTCAGAACCCGCAGCCTGGCTCCAGATTCCATACATGCCGGCGTCTGAGCACTCACCACCTCTCTCAGGCTTCCCCAGCCCTGTCCCGTACACTTAGTATTCTCTGGGACAACTGCTGCTAATTTCACGTTTTCTGTCCCACTGCCACTTCTCCATGGGTCCTGGTTTGGGGTTCTGAAAATAGCCATGCCCCTGCAGCCTTGGATACCCTGAAGTCCTCAGTGGGGTAAGAGAGAAGGGCTTTTGCATCTGATATTACAGATAAGGACAATATGGGGCCCAAAAAGGCTAAACGATTTACCCAGCACCCTCCAGTCCTCCAGCCAAACAAGGGACTCTCCTGGGCAGAGCTGCCACAGGAGCCCACCTCCTGGCACCCCGGCCTGCTGGCTTCCCACTGGCTAACGAAAGCCTTGTGGGAGAAACACCCTGGTAGACCCTTAATCCAAGCTGGACCCCGTCCCCCCAACAACCCCCAGCTGCCCTCCTGCCTCCTCTCTGCTGTTGAATCTCTCACCAACTTCAAAGTCAATTGGGGACATGCCTCCCCCTCCAGGATGACATCATGATTCACCCAGTTTCTAGGCGTTCTATGTCCTCCCCTGGACCATGGCACAGGCCCCCTCACTGCCTCCAGCTTCACCCTCTGCAGCCTGTGCTCCACCTGGCTGCAGAGTGATCTGCCTCTTAAAGGCACCCCAGCACCTAAGAAAGAGGTCAATCCTAGACTTAGCCTGACATTCCAGGCCTTTCCTGTCTCAAACCCCATTCTGCTCTCCTTGCCTCCTTTCCAGACATCTATCCAACCTACTGGTCTCTCCCACTGCCCAGAGCATAGACTACATTGGTCCGCCTGCAACCCTTTCCTCTCATCAGCTCCTTGCCCCATGTCAAGTGCCTTTGAGACTCCTATTCACCCTCCAAGGCCCTTCCCACATGTCCCCTCCACTAAGAAGCCTTCCCAGATCGCCACATAAGAATTATCTACTCCCTTCCCCACACTCCCATGTGGCAGAGGAGCTCCTGCGCTCATCTCCCCAGGAAGGCTGAACACTTCCAGACACAACCTAACCTAGCCCATGAAATGGATCCAGCCCATCTATCCAGACAGCAGGTCACCAGGGACACCATCAAGCTAAAATCCCTGCACCAGCTCTGCCCCTGATTTTAACTCAGGCTCCCATCTAATCACCCTTTCCCCCTTAATCTTCCCTGCACTTGCCCCGGGCCACTCAACAAAACGATGGCAAGGTGGGGGTGAGGTCGCCCTGTCTGGGGTACACTCCTTGTCAGGGGTATTTTTCATTTCCCACGGCTGCTTCCCCTCTTGACCACCCTTTCCTTCCCCTTCCTCATTGCCTAACGTTTCAGGCGGAAAACGTTTTCAAAATATGTAACTTAAAGGGATTGCCCCAGAGGTGATTACATGGGCATTCAGCCAGCTTGCTGAGGTCATCAGTACTAAGCATGGCAGATCTCCTGGGGGACGCTGTGCCCCACAGACCTGGCAGCAGGATTGGGGGCCTCCAGTTTCCCAGGACCTTTGACCAACCCCCGCCAAGAACGTGCCCATTGGGAGAAGCTTGTCACAAAGATCTAGTGGCTCTTAGCACCCATCCGGGTGCCATTGAGTCAGAAACCCAGACCTAGCGCAAAAAAACCTGGCCTAGACAGTCCAGAGGCCACATCTGAGCCCTGGGTGGAGGAATGTGTGCAGTGGGTCAGATGGGATGACACAAAGACAGCCGGCCTCTGTTCCCTGAACTAATGTGGCCTGGAACTGTCTGGGGGACTTGGCTTCAGTTTACAAAGGATAAGCTTCAATCCTCCTGCAGGCACTTGGCAAGAAGTTTCAAAGCTTTGCTGCCTCAGCGATCAGCAAATGGCTCATCCTTGTGCTGTACACGACAAAAGGCTCCTGGCTGGCACTCAGGACAGCCTTTGTCCCAAGGCTGGTGAGGCCGATTGTGTACAAATAGAGCCTGGCCCAGAAACACGCTGGAGATCGCTCCCCGGGGTAGCCTCTGACATGGGAGGAGCCTCTTTGGCAAGAGCTGTATGACCCTGAGGTGCAGTGGGAAGCCTCCCTTCAGTGTCAGGGGACCTCCGAGGAAACGGAGACCTGTCTGCCCCTGCAAGGTGGGCTGCTGGGCTGGGCTGAATCCTGGCACAGGTGTATGGTCAGTTCTCGATAGCATGCTTCTTCCACCTGGTGCCCAAAAGCCATGCAACACACCAGGGACAACACAGATAGAGCAGGATGCCCGGTCAAGTCTGTTGGGAAATCAGCGTCGGTCACTTTAAATATACTTATGTGAGTAGCCACCAGGCTAGCCTAGAGAGTCCAAACTTGACGACATATTAGAAAGCCAGGCCGGGCACGGTGGCTCACGCCTGTAATCCCGGCACTTTGTGAGGCCGAGGTGGGCAGATCACAAGGTCAGGAGTTCAAGACCAGCCTGGCCAACATGGTGAAACCCCCATCTCTACTAAAAATACAAAAATTAGCTGGGCGTGGTGGTGGGCGCCTGTAATCCCAGCTACTCGGGAGGCTGAGGCAAGAGAATCACTTGAACCTGGGAGGTAGCGGTTGCAGAGAGCCAAGATTGCGCCACTGTACTCCAACCTGGGTGACAGAGAGACTCCATCTCAAAAAAAAAAGAAAGCCAGATCCATCAAGATGCTCCACTGTACAATGTAGTAGTGTGTGTTTTCCCACAGAGAAGATCCAACAGTTCTCTCATCATAATTAAACGCAAAACATGCGACAGGGTCCCCGGGGCGGGAGGTGGGGGGGCTTGCGTGTGCCTCACTGGAGCATAAACGGCACAGGTGCTCAGCTCTGCGCCACACAGTTGGCGCTCAGCAGATGCTGAGCATGAACGCGGCACTCATCAAGCAACCTGGCATCTGATCCTTATGTCCACCGCATGAGGTAGATTACCATTGTCCCCATTTTACAGACAGGAAACCGAGGCGCAGAGATATGGGGACTTGCCCGAGGTCACAACCAAAGAGTGACACGGCTGACTCTATGCTGGTGCCACTAGCTCCAAGGCGCGCCAGCTGCGTGAGTGACCTGGGGGCTCGCTTCTTTGTGGGCAGGGAGCACGCAGAGTGGGCAGAGGGAGCCGAGCAGAAAGAACCAGTCTGAATCGCCAAGAGGAGACAGCATTCTTTAATCATGCTGGACGGCAGGGCGTGGCGGGGTCAGGCAGGGGCAGGATCAGGCAGGGTGGTTTATAGCACAGGTCTTCCTGGCACTTGGTCAGACCCTGTTTCCGTCATCTGGCCATGGAGCCACGGCTCCTCGGCTGTGAGCACCAGAGATCACCCCCCGGGGCACCTCAGCCCCAGAGTCTGCATGAGCACCAATGGGCGGAGGCCGCCTCCCTCTGGGGAGAAGGGCAGGCCACCTGGGTTTGGAAGGCTAGGGGAACACCAGGCCACCCCACCCTGGAAGAAGAAACGGAAGGCCTGAGGTCCCTCCTTTGCTCTAGCTCCCCAGACCTGCTGAGGGCTCTAAAGCCTGGGGCTTCCGTGGCCCTTCTCCTGCAGGTGTTTGTAAAGGCAGCACCAGGCCGGAGGAGGGCTCTGAGACGAGGAGCTGCCCACCCGGGCCTTAGCACCTTGATAAAGCCTGGAGAGTCGGGGCACTGGGCCGGTGAGAGGGGCATGAGGGGCAGAGAGCACCTGGGGACAGACATCAGTGTCTGAGGGCAGCTGGAGGCCCTGGGGAAACGGAAGTTCAGATGACTTTGGTGGAAGGGACTGAGCAAGGCCCTGGCAGAGCCCTGGGAGGAGGCAGGAAGGGGATCCCAGTGAGGAGGGCAGGTCTTCTCGCAGGATGCCGTATCAGCTGTGGGGAGAGCTATGGGTGTGGGTTCCATTCTTCGGGGGCCACTTCACCCCCCAAATGCCCCCACACTCCTGGGTCCTCTCCTCACAGAACCCTTGACCTGGCCAAGGCCCCCTGGGGTTTGCTGTAACGATGAGCACTGGGCAGGTGGATGAGGAACGGGAAGGAGATACCTGCCCCTGCCACCGGGACCCCGTCCCACCAGCCTTGGGGAGCAGTGGGTAATGGAGGACCAGCAGCACCTGAACACCCAGAACACAGGCCCCCATGAGCTCTGGGTCTGCTTTAAAACCTATGTACACATCTCTCCCCGCCTGGGCTGGACTGGCCAGTCACTGAGGGCAGGGGCAGGGCCTGTGTCTGACCCCCTCACCCTTCCCGGGACCCAGCACAGAGTGAGTGCTCAGTGTTTAATGAATGAATAAATGAACGGTGGCTGCAGTGGTGCAGGCCTGAGCAAGAGAAGAGGGGGAAGGGGTAAAGAGAACATAGCACGGGGAGCCCTGGAGGGATGAGAGAATTTAAGAATGTTGGAATTGGCCAGGCACGGTGGCTCACACCTGTAATCCCAGCATTTTGAGAGGCCGAGGCGGGTGGGTCACCTGAAGTCAGGAGTTCAAGACCAGCCTGGCCAATATGGTGAAACCCCATCTCTACTAAAAATACAAAAATTAGCCAGGCATGGTAGCAGGCGCCTGTAATCCCAGCCACTAGGGAGGCTGAGGCAGAAGAATCGCTTGAACCCGGGAGGCAGAGGTTGCAGTGAACTGAGATTGCACCACTGCACTCTAGCCTGGGCAACAGAGCAAGACTCTGTCTCAAGAAAAAAAAATGTTGGGAGAATTCTAGAATGTGGGGAGGATTCCAGAATGTTCAGAAAGTACTAGAATATTGAGAAAGTCCTAGAACCTGGTTGCTCCAGTGTGGTTCATAGACTGACCCCATCAGCATCACCCAGGAACATATGAGAAACACAGAATCCTGGACCCACTCAGACCTGCTGAGTCAGAATCTGCATTTAACACGAACCCCGGGTGATTCGCATGCATTTCCAAGTTTGAGAAGTGCTGGGCTACGAGGCTGGGAAAGTTCTAGAATATTTAGGTTAGCAAGCTTCTTAAAATAGGTCCAAGAGAGAAGAGAGGAGCAGAAATAGGCTGGGAGGGATGATGGCAGCCAAGATAGAAGCAGGGTCTCCCCAGAATGCCAGGTCCCCGGGGACCTCCCTGGCCTTCCTGCTTCACAGCAGTGCAAACTGAGCCCTGCAGGGGACGGGACCAGCACCTGAGCTCTCCAGCCGGGAGGGTGGCCCAGAGGCCCTCAGTCGTCCTCGGCCTTGATGAGGTGGCCGCTGAAGGTGATGTAGGTGTCGAAGTCGTTGCTGTAGATGGCGTTCTCGCGCTGGCGCTTGAAGAGCCGCACCCAGACGCGGTCCCCGTAGGCCAGGTCCAGCATCACACTCTGGCTCTGCATGATGCTGCGCTCGCTGGGCTGCGCGTACAGGATGACAGCCTCTTTCTGGTTATGCATAATGTGCACGTACGTCTCCTTGTAATTCCAGCTGTGCACATTGAGGCTGAAGAAGTAGATGCCACGCAGGGGAGCAGCAAACTGGCCGGTCGCCATGTCAAAGCACCCATCAAGGTTCACAAAGACCCTTTCGAAGAGCAGCGTCTGGAAGTCCTCGCCGCTGTGCAGGGCCGTCTTGCGGCCCACTGAGAAGGCGAAGAAGCGCTTCTGGCACGGGGCGCCGGGGCTGCCCATCTCCCCCTTGTCACCCTTGCTGCCCTGAGGGCCAGGCTCCCCTTGGGGACCCTCCCTGCCCATGTACCCTGGCAGGCCCATTGGGCCTGGGTCCCCTTTGTCACCTGTGGGGATAAAAAGGGGACAAGTCAGGGTGGACATCTGAGCCTGCTCCAAGGAGGTGCCCACACTCATCTGTGACGGCTCTGCCCCTGTCCTGGCCCAGAGAAGAAGCCAGCATTTATTTAGCACCTACTGTATGCCAGACATTGCCTCCCCACATGCCTGCCTAAAGAAAACATCATGACCGTCTTCACTTCACAGAGAGGGTGAGTGACTCACCCCGGGCCACACAGTGCAGGAGCAGAAGAGGCAGGACTTAAAATATGGTCTGTCCCCAGGGTGACTTGACTTCCCCTCACCCAGCAGGGAGGGTCCGACTGGTGTCTCTGGGAGGCCAGGCCCAGGCCCCCACCCCAGGACCACAGCGCAGTCCAGGCTGGCAGGGATGTGGGGTGTGCTGGAACATACTTTGGGTTTCTGACCCAGGGAAGAAACCAAGAAAAATACATTTGCCCACCTGGAGGAAAAGCCCAGGTTAGGAGCCAGGAAGCCCTTGGTTGGCAGTCCTGCCCTGTGTGACCTCGGGCACTCCACGGCTGGGGTCTCGGTTTTCTGGTCTATATTTTAAAGAGGATTATGTCCACCTCAGGGGTGTTTGTGAGCCCTCAACAAAATGTCCTGTGGGAAAGCACTTTGCAAACTCTGCAACTAAGAGGCAGAACAGTTCACCCAGCACGGCTGGCCCATCCCGACCTGCTCTGAGGTCTGGCAGCATCTACAATGGCCCCCAGGCAGGCACAGCCCTGCCCGGCCCTTAGTCCAGGCTGACTTTCAACATAAGAAAAGCAGGTGACCACCCACGCCTGGAGGGACCCGACCTCACATAGCTCCCTGCCACCTGTCACAGTGCCTGGAGTCACACGAGCAACCACATCCTTGCATGGGCTAGAAGGCCCTGTGTTTTCCACAGGGGGGGAAGGGGACAGAAAGGAGGGCACAGGCCCTTGAGGTGGAAGCCCAGAGAGCTGGGCAGGGCAAGGCCACAGCTCTGCAGGGTTCTGGCTCCACCGCCTGGCTGGAGAACCACGTCCTCACCTGCACAGCTCTAGACCTTGTGCAGGAAGTTTGTTGTGCCCCAGCCCAAGGAAAGGAAGGAGTGGAGGGTGGACAGGACGAAGGGACTATCTTCTTTTTACAAATAAGGCAGCAAGCTCAGGGCGGGGGAGAGACCAGCCTGACTCACTGGGCAAGGGGGCAGAAGAGGTGAGGCTGGGACCCAGGACTCCCAAAGCCAGCCCGAGGTCCCTCACGGCAGCCTACCCACCTCCCAGCAGGCTGCTGAGCTGGGCCCAGGAGCAGTGACCCTGGGTTTGGGGAGGGCAATGAGGAGGGACCATCAGCAGCCAGGCACCTCTCCAACCTCATGCAGAGAGCTAAGTCAGCCCTGGGGAAGCTGGGTGGGGAGGGGGGTGTGAGGAAGAGCAACGTCCTCACCACGAAATCAGAACAAGGGCAGGCCAGGTGCCAGGTGACCACTGGCTGTGCAGTGAGTGTCCCCGGGGAGAGCTCAGGAACAAATCCTGGCTCCATCCCTGACAGCTGTGTGGCCCCAGGAGACTGGGTTTCCCCATCTGCAAAGTGGGAGGAATAAGAAAATATCGACCTCACGGGCTGTTGTGGGCAGAGACGGACGCTAAGGATGTCAAGGCCTGGTCACAGCCGTCAGCCACCACAGCCTGGAAGGGAAGCGAGTCCTTCCACGTCCTATTGAGAGAGCGGGTAGCCAGCCCGCACCTGGACGGCCCTCACCTGGATGCCTTTCACCTGGACGGGCCCTCACCTGGACAGCCCTCACCTGGACAGCCCTCACCTGGATGGCCCTCACCTGGACAGGCCCCACAGGGCTGCATGCTCCGACCCTCGGCCCCCGCTGGTTGCTCTCCACATGACATTAGAGGGATCCATTTGAAACCTGGGTGGGATCAAGTCCCTGTCCCACCCAAACCTGCCCCTGTTCCCACTCCACTCAGCGGAGCCCAAGTCCCTACAGTAGCCGGGTGGTGACAGCACCCCATGTGATCTGAGCCTGGTGCATCTCCCGGCCCTGCCCCAGGGCCCCTGCACCAGCTGTGCCCTTTGCCAGGAGGCTCCTCCACCACCTCTTAGAAGCCTGTGCTCCATGGGTCCTCCACTGACCACCTCATTCAATATGCAGCCTGCAGCCCAGACCCGCACTCCTGAAGCCCCTTTTCATTTCCCAGAGCACTGATCACCATCGAACATTCCACTCCACTAACTTAGGTGATGTGTGCCTTGCTCACAGCCCATCTCCCCACCGAGAACGGGTGCTCAGGCAGGAGGCATCTTGGTCTGGTTTGTTCACGCTCCGTCATCAGTGTTTGGAACAGACCAGGCTCACATTGGGGCTCAATAACTCAGGATGAAAGAGGAGTCTGGACAGGTTTCCGCCCTGCCCTCTACTCCCTCCACCTCAGCTCCCTGGCCCTCCCTGCCCACTACCAGGCCCCACAGGAGGGCACTCACCCTTCAGGATGGTGATATTAATGTAGGGTCTGATCTCAGGCAGGGCGTGGGGGCGGCCGGAGGAAGAGGCTGAGGATACATGGGCAGGATCCAGGGGGTCCTCAGAGTCACAGCACCGTTGGCAGCCGCTGGCCACAGCTCTGTCAAAGGTGAGCTCCACCATAGGGATCTCACACATCAGGAGAAAGAGCAGGAGCGCTGCCCAGACGGGACCCAGGGCGGCTGTCCCCATGGTGACCTGGAACAAGGAAGGAGGGACAGGAACTATACTTCACTCAACATCTACTATGTGCCGATGCCTGGGGTGGGCGGGTGCTGCGTCCTCCAGCCACAGCACTCCTGACCTAACTCCAGAGGGAAGGTTATTGTCCCCATCTATCAGACAAGAAGACTGAGACCTCCACAGAGCAGCAAGTTCCCCAAGATCGGGAGGAGACTGGCAGGGCAGGGCCTGCATGCTGAGTCTCCGGGCACCCAGTCCATGGAGGCTTCTGCTCCACACAGGCCTTGGAAGGATGAAGCCCCTCTGAAAACAGCCACAGCTGAGAGCAGACAGGGATCCCAGGAAGCTTTGCTGGGGCAGGTGAGAAGATGCCCCAGCTGGCCATGGGTGGCAACCCAGGAGACCGTCAGATGCTTTCCCGCCCGCGCACCTCCCTCTGGCACTTTCTTGCCACCGACTCCACTATCTCCAGCAAACACATGCCCTCCGGGCAGGAGGACTGAGGTTAGTGAACACTGGGGACAAACGTGGAGGGTTCTGGAGGCTTGTTCTCAGGAGAGGGGATGGGTGGCCGAGCCCATGCTTTGGTGTGAGAACACCATAGTTCTGAAAAAAAAGAGATAAGAGAGTTCATTGATCCTAGCAGACAGAAAGCAACGTCCATGAGAGCATGTGGGGTGGTGCGCGGTGATGGTGTCATTGCATCGCTGAGCAGTCAGGAGAAGGAATACTGGGTCCTTGACTGCAGCCCATTGCTAGTCTTTAGAGTGCCTTTGTGCAAAGCAAAGAAGGTGCCCCTCTGGACAAATTAGAAATGATAAGAGTCCCCGTTGGAGGGACGTGATGCTGAGGGTGTGCAGCTTGGCAAGGGCTGGCGCTAGTCCACCTCCCTGCTCAGCACCTTTGTGCAGTCAACTATCTATGCAACCCAACCTTATCCAGAAGCCCTGCAGGGAGGGTTCTGTAGAGAGAGTTAGTTCATTGGAA
Organism: Homo sapiens; assembly: GCF_000001405.40. NCBI lineage: Eukaryota > Metazoa > Chordata > Mammalia > Primates > Hominidae > Homo > Homo sapiens. The sequence goes on from NC_000022.11 coordinate 37,186,428, forward strand.
GATGGTTGTGTCAATCATCGTAGACCTGCCAATCAGATGCCAAGGTGGTAAATTGGAATTAAGGGGTAGGACTAGGAGGTATAAAAAATTCTAAAGGATCAGAAAAGTGTAAGTGTTGGTGAGGATCTGTCTCTGGCCTTGGCCAAGAAGGGGTCTAGGGCTCCAGGAGAGAGGCAGGAAGTAGCCTGGACACCAGGCGCTAGAGACAGTCCTGGGTTGGGTGGGCAGGAAGCCGGGCAAAAAGACCTTTGAGGTGGTGCAGCTTCTGGGGGCTGGTGCCGAGTTATCACAGGATCAGAAACTCTGCTTTTGAAACCAGACTGGTTTTTACACTTCTGGCGTTTCTTTGTTTATTTCCTTTTTGTTCTCCTTTAACATTTAGTAGAATTCAAAAATATTTTTTTTGTGGTTAATACATGTAGACAAGGTACAATTATTACTTTTTAAAATGCCACCCTGTCTCAGCTGAGCACTGAGGTGAGGGCAGAGTTTTAAAGGGGCAGGATGGCCAGGTGCAGTGACTTACTCCTGCAATCCCAGCACTTTGGGAGGCCACGGAGAGAGGATCACTCGAGTCCCGGAGTTCGAGACCAGTCTGGGCAACATAGTGAGACCCTGTCTCTATTTTTCAAAAATTAAAACTAAAAATAAATAAAGCGGCAGGAGCCCTGCCCCCCACCCCCAGAGCTGGATGGTAGCAGCAGGAGAAGGGGGCTGGACAGGAAGTCTCCAGAGCCACCTCCCTCTTCCTGGAGGTGACTCTTCCCAAGCTTCTCTCTGCCCACCCTGGTTGGGTTCCTGGTTCTGCTCAATAAGGAGGTCAAATCCTCAGAGATCAACATCCTCCCTGTCTGAGACTGTCATCCTCAACTTTTACTTATAAATGACAAATCCCAGTGGTTTTGGAAATCCCAAAATTCCCTTCTTTTTCCCAGCCACAGATATGACCTCATGAGAAAAGCTGAGGTCTTAGAGTCAAATCTGAGACCCAGAATAGTTTGCAAGCTGTGTGACCTAGGGCTAGTGGCTGAACCTCTCTGGGCTTCCTGCTCCTTGATACTTACAAGGAAATGACACCACCCTTTCCCTCCCAGGTAATTTGGAAGGATTTCAATGCAGGAAAAGTGCCTGCCTTATAAAAGACTTAAAAAAAAAAAAAAAAGTGTGCTTTGACTTCTTCCCTGTGCCTGCATGGGATGGGAAGGAGAACTTCTCCCAGAGGACTGGCATGGTTTGGGAGCATTTCTGTTTCCTATTGGCCCCAGCGGATGGGAGTCAAAGGCTGTGAGACACAGAACCGTGGCCTGGGAGCAGGAATCAGGAAGCCGTTAACGAGGAATCATAACCACAGCCAGGATCACGAACTAGCTCTGGGGGTGGGTGCCAGGCAGGGACCAAGTGTGGGAACCAAGTCATAGGGAGGACTTTTGGGGTCCTTGCTGCTTCCACTGGGACCTCTTTGGGGAGGGAGCGGCAGGGCAACTTTTCTCGGTCCAGGCAGGCCGTGCAGAGCTGAGTTTGTGTGTGCCCGGGTAGGGGCGGGCACAAACCGGGAGCAGTGGAGCGCAGCCCTCAGCCAGAGGCAGGAGGAAATGTGGAGGGGAGAGCCTGGAGAGGCTGTCCCAGTCAGAGGGAGAGAGCAGGGCCCGAGATGCTTCCAGGAAGCAAGGAGGGAGGAGAGGAATTCCAGGCTCTGACCCCAGCCCCCAAGCTTGAGGAGCCTCTGGTCACTCACCCTGTGTCCTGTGGCCTCCCCAGGCGACTCACGGACCCTGAGCCACTGCATGGCCTCTGGCTCCTTGGCCCATGTCTGCAATACTAACTTGTTGCTGGCCCAGACCCCCAGGCCCAGCAGAGGAGGGAGAGAGGAGGGGATGGAGGGAGAGAGGGCGGAGGGAGGGCGGAGGGAGAGGGCAGAGCCGCTTCCCACTTCCCCTCCTCCCTGCTCCCTCCCTTTCAGCCTCTGGGTTCTGCGGAGATAAAGGGAGGCAGGGATTTCCTTTGCTTAACTCTTTGGTGATCCAGTGGGGTCTTGCTTGATTCAAAGGCCTAGAAAGTCAGAGCAGGCAGGAGTCTGAGGCCCCCTGATGATTGGGAAATGGACACAGGCATGGGGCACAGGAGCCCCTAGGTTGCTCAGGAAGGGGGAGGCAGCCCTGAGTCCACCCTGAGCTAAAGTGCTTAACTGCTCTGAGTCACAGAGGCAGGGTGGGTAGCAGAGAAGGTGCAGGTGTTGGCCCTCCAGGCACAGGCTAGAATCCTGGCCCTGCTACCACAGTCGCGTCGCCTCTCAGAGCCTAGGTGTTCCAGAACTGCAGTCCTCAGCCCCCTTTGTGCCAGGCACATGGGAGGGCTTAACCCATGTTTGTTGGGTGAATGACCAGGCTGACCTCCTCAGGTATCATGCAAGTGTTACCAGAGAGGGGTACTGATCAGACCCCAAGAGAGAATTCTTGGATCTTGCACCAGAAAGAATTTGGGGTAAGTCCACAGAGCAAAGTGAAAGCAAGTTTATTAGAGAAGCAAAGAAACAAAAGAATGGCTACTCCATAGGCAGAGCACCCCCAAGCACTGCTAGTTGGCTATTTTTATAGTTATTTCTTGATCCTATGCTAAACAGGGGTGGATTATTCATGAGTTTTCCAGGAAAGGGGTGGGAATTTCCTGAAACTGAGGCTTCCTCCCCCTTTTAGACAATATAGGGTAATTTCCGGACATTGCCATGGTATTTGTAGGCTGTCTTGGTGCTGGTAGAAGTGTGTTTTAGCAAGCTAACACATTTTAATTAACATACAATGAGCAATAAGGATGACCAGATGTCACTTTCATTGCAATCTTAGATTTGGCAGGTTTTGGCTGGTTTGTTTACCGCATACTGTTTCTCAGCAGGGTCTTGATGACCTGTATCTTGTGATACCAGTCCTGCCAACTTCCTATCCCTTCCTGTGACTACAAATGCCTGACCTCCTGGGAATGCAGCCTGGCAGGTCTTAGCCTCATTTTACCCAGCCCCTATTCAAGATGGAGTTGCCCTATTTTGAACACCTCTGACATATTTCCCTACTCTCTTTTACGAGGGAACGTTTAATCTTAAGGGTTGTAGAGGCATGAAGATCCATCTTCTGTAACTTCTTCAGGCTGAATAGAGGCGATGATATTCCTGCCTAACTATTAGAGTCTCTTGGGTTTGGTGCAGAGAGGAACTGAGTAAGAAAATGTTGGTGTGTTCAGAGTCATTTGTAACTCTGAGTCCTAACAAAAGGTGATATCTGGAAGATTAATGTGTTCAATTTAAGGAAGCACTGAGTAAGCTTATCTTGCATTCTTACACAAAGAGTATAGCAGCAATATATTCTACAACAGCAAAGTAAAATAAGTAAAATTATCCCAAGTAATCCAAATAAGAAGGCTTTCCATGAACTGGGCAAGAATGCCTGTGACTTATCGGGTAAAATGAGGCTGAGACCTACTGGGCTGCATTCCCAGGAGGTTAGGCATTCTTAGTCACAGGAATTGCTAGATGAGCTGATACGGAGTTGCTAGACGATTCCAATACATGCTCAGAATTAGATACTGATCCAGATTTTTATGTTATCCATCCCTCTTGTTTCTGACGAGAAGCAGTCAAGAGATGACTGTTTGGTTCACAGAAAGAAGCAAGGTCAGTCTAAATTGCAGACAAAAAACTCAAAAACAATGGATGAGACTAGAATCTATGACAGGTGTACCATATTTTTTGAAACACCGTTTTTCTCTCTCCAGTCTCCCATTTTTTATTAAAAACAAATCATGGTAGGACCAATTTATTTGCAAAATAAGCTTTAGTCTTATTATACTTGGCTTCATTATTTGCATAAAGTGCAGCAAGTATAATTATTTGCCATACAGGCTCCTTTTAAAATTGGCTTTGTTTCATAAGGTATCTTAGATTAGATGTTTTAAAGCTTTGAGCCCAGCCATGGATTTACCTATGCCTGCAAGAACCTGTATGAGTTAGATAAATTCCTCTCCTCTTGAGGTCCCGAGATAACTCGGGGCTCCCAGGCCTGTCAGAAAGTTACATTCTTTACTTACCACAGGTCAGGAACCCTATACAGGGACTTCATACACAAGGTACAAGACCAGTTTTTCCAAGAGGCTTTTATTGGCTCTATTAGTCAACTTTAATTCCTTAAAGAAGTCTGTTTATATTTGAAAGCATGCCACTCGAGTCAAACCCTTGTTAAATAACCAGTTTCTCCAATTGTGTCCTGTTACAAAAAAAAAAAAAGAAGAAAGAAGGAAAAACAGATTCTTACTGCACTTATGCAAATAACTATATTGCCGTAAGTTAAGAACACTCACAAATAGTTTCCAAATTCTGCAGAAATCAGGTAAAGAGAAAAAAACATATTCCAAATTTTGTTTTTGGACAAAACTTTGTTTTATAATCCTTACCGGAGCGTACTTTACTCAATTGTTAAAAGCTGTAAATAGCTCAAGAAGGGGGGGTTTCTTGACTCTGAAAAACAAAACAGAAAGATCAACAACATTTTAAGCAAAAAGTCATAAAAGATTATTTCAGTCTTTTATTAGTTCAGTCTATGCAATTAATTCCTGTTTTGCTTGATATATATGTGTTAGTTTTCCAAGAGTCTTGGATGATGTTTTCTTTTTCTCTGCATTTAAGAGTACTCATCAGAGTCCTATAGCTGATTATAAACCACCTTTTGAAGAGAATAAAAGCAAGACAACAATTGTCTATGGATGACAGAAAGACTTAGAGCAGTCATGGTTAAAGAATTAATATCATTGACTAGGAAATGTGGATACCTCTGTGGCATATAATAAATTAACATCATAACAATTATAATTATTATTGATAATGTCCATTAGTATTGATAATGTTCATATCAGAATTATAGGAGTTTCCCATAATTTTGGAACACATACCAATAACATATTTATATAAACACAGCCCAAAGAAAGCCAAACACAATTTCATATTTGACAATGCTTCCTGTATTATTTTAATGTACCAAATAAGCCAAATATGTCATTTTTGGACTTTAGGGGACCTAATATCTAAAGGACTAATCAGGTTAGAAAAAGGCATAACTTAGAATTTGATTTTGGAAAGTTTGTCAAATATCAAAAATTTAAAACATTTGATACTACAAAATAGCATCCCAGGTCACCATAAGTCATTTATTTGGCCAAAATGATAACTCAAAGATGTTTTTAAGGGCAAAAACCTTTACTCACCGATAAAGGGAAGACTTAGCTTTCCAAAAAAAACTGTCTCTTTTCGTTCCTTTCTTTTTTCTATAGCTTATTCAAAAGGCAAACAAAAATCTTTAATTATTTTTCAATATTACATGAAAAACTTGTTCAAGAGAGAAAGCCAAATTTTACCTTTGCATTTGTGTACTATTAATGTCAAACCCAATTCATAATAAAGCCTTATAGACAACTCTATCCAATTTTAATGTTTGACCATGAGGTAAGAGTCTCATAAACCTTTTATAGCTCTTTACAATTTTCTTGTTAAAGAGTATACCAGTGCTCTAAGAAAACCTTGTTATACTTTTATTCCATATTTAATTTATGGAAAAACTGAATAATATCCCTTTAATTTAAGCCAATAAGTTCACACAGAATTTCTTTTACAAGATTAATCTTTCACAAACCTTCCATAACTTGCTCAAACCTTCAGCTTTATCCTACCTAACTTGAAACAATCCTTTAACCCTCTAAAGTAGGGGGAAAGTCCACATTCCCATGCTTTCTTATAATCTTCTTACCAAAAGCATATTCAATTTTCCTTACACACCTTGCATATAAAACTGTTTCTCTAGTAGTCTCAATTACATATAACATATTACGATGTTAACTCTTAGCAACTTTTATTTTTTGGTGAAAAACCTGGTAAGTAAGCAGTTTTACTTATATTCCAGGTGTGGAGCCTAGGACAGCCTTATCTGCAGAAGTGCAGATAAGGTCTGACTCTTTCCAGCATAGCTGGGGGCATGGCTAACTCGACAAGTCCCCAGGCCTTATCTAGAATCTAATGGCCCCAAAGCAGGTAAGCTGGGCAATTTTCAAAAGTCAATGATGCAGTTTATGACCTTGAGGCATTTAGCAAACCTAAAATCTGACCTGCCTAATTTAGACCAAATGTCTAAAGTTTGAAGATATTTTAATGTTACTGATAATCTTTAAAACTGTCTCTATTTCCCAAAGATTATTAAAGTCATGTGAACCAAAAGGCATTAATGTTTCTATTTTTCTGACAAAATATTTGATTTAAGTACTTATTATTTTTAAGCCAATTAATCAGAGCTCTTTCATATATCAACATCACACACACAACATATATAAATACACAGACAGAAGATCCAGTAGTTGTAAGATTTTTCATTTGCCAATTTTTAAGTTTCTTAATTGGATTACTGACTTCAGGGTGGAGCCCTTCAAGAAACAGGGCCAGGAAAGCCTGCAGTTTCTAAGGCCTAATAAGCAGGCACAGCTGGAAGGCAAAACAGAACCCCAAAATTAAGGGTTTCATTTTTATATTGGATCCTGGATCCCAAAGAGAGGGAATCAGCCCATCCCCCATGGCAGTCTTATCTTTCAATGGAGGGTGGGGACACTTCCATACTTTCTAGGTGGCCAAGAGCATGCTTTTCTGATCCAAAGGTGCGAAGAGCCAAGTATCCCCACAAAACTGCCATTAGCCATCCCTAAAAGTGTATTCCCCACCTAGTTATTACATAGCAAGGCTAAAAGCTCTCTTAAAATGCAAAGTAATTTCTGATATCCCCAAAAGTCAAAACTGTCAGATAACACAATACAAAACAGAGCAGAGCCTTAGATTTTGAGAGTGGTCTATCTGCTTTCAATTCCTGGGGGTGTCCATGAGGAGAACAGAGGTTTCTCCCAAAACAGGGTCTGTAGCACCTCCTTTTTTCCTGAGAAGTCCCAGGCTATTAAAATTTATCTTAGGTCCTCTCAGGTGGGGCATCAAGAGTGGCAAGAAGACAAAATGGGGAAAAAAATTAAGTCGACTGAAAAGAAAAAATTTTTCAGAAAAATAAGAGCCAAGAAGAGAAAAAAAAGCATAAAGGCCTTTTAAATATATGTATAGCTTGGATATCCATTTTTAATTAAGCTGACTTTTAACCAAATCTTGTTACCAGACTCTAGCCGGGACAAACAGCCAATATTTCTGGCTTTTGAACTTCACTAACAGTAACCTCCCAGGTGAAACCGGTAAGCCTTAACTAAGGTTAGCACTTAACCCAGGTATACAAGGTATTTTCAAAGAGGTGATAAGCAGTTTTTACGAGATCTAGAATCGCCAAGGGTAGTGCAGAGAAAGGAAAATTCAAACGAGAAGTCAGAAGCTGTTTATGGAGAAGAAAATGAATAAATGGCAAAGGTCACATAGATATTAAACCAGAAAGGACTCATTCCCTAAGGTGGGAATTGAACCTGGGTCCCCAGTGTGAAGAGACAAAGCCTTAGCTACTGAGCCACGGCACTAGACAGTTTCTGTTTTCCTTCCTGGAAGGAGCCCAGAGAAGCCAATTTCAAGCGTGCAAAGGCTTTTAACTGCTCAGGACAATTTTTAGGGCTATCACATGAAGCCCCAGCTTCCTGTCGTCTGGATGGTGGAGACTAAGAGAAAGTACTCCCACACGGTCACAAGGTTAAACTTGCAAGGACGTAAAAAAAAAGACAAGACAGAAACCTCATCTAGTTTTTGTTTCAGGGACCTGCCGCCAAGTTTGTAACTGACGAGTTTGCTGGGCCAACTTGAATAATGGGCTTATATGGGTCCTAGGCCCACATTCTATCCTATAGTACCTCTTTTTATGACAGACTGACACAGAAAGAAAAATTCATAGCACTAAGTACACCAGATTTTCTAAAGCTTAAGACTAGCCCCCATGAATTCTTTTTCGTATTAATCAAATTCCTTGCAGGAGAGACAAACAGTGATT